>NC_000001.11:56220501-56372016 GCF_000001405.40 Homo sapiens
CAACTCTATATTGTCTGTATTCTCTGAGGCTAAAATTTTAAAGTTCCAATCTCTTAAACAAGACATTAGGAATAGTTGTATTTTATTAGTTTTCTAAGCCTCTCCACTCCTCAGATCTAACCTGCATTGTGTTTGCATTTTGGAAGGCAAGTGACAGAGTGAATAGCACACAAGACTTTGAGTTAGTAGAGCTGCGTTGGAGTTCTCATTCCATCACTTTCTAACTAGTTATTTAACTTCTCTGAGTCATTTTTTCTCCTTAGAAAAAGAAAAAGGCTAGTAGTAATACTAGTAATTTAGGTTATTATAGTGAATTATTGAGATAATAGTTATGTATTCATTCACCAGAAATTTACTGAGTATCTTATTCTGTGCCAGACTTATATTATGCAATAGGAATAAAAAAAATTCTTGGTTTTAACAGTCAAAACAGACAAGTAATCTAATTATTGCTATGGTGTGAGCCATGACCTTGTCACTCCAAGTGTGGTTCAAGGACCAACATCATTATCGTCATCTAAAAGAATGTT
Source organism: Homo sapiens (assembly GCF_000001405.40). Classification (NCBI taxonomy): domain Eukaryota; kingdom Metazoa; phylum Chordata; class Mammalia; order Primates; family Hominidae; genus Homo; species Homo sapiens. The sequence continues at coordinate 56,221,032 of NC_000001.11, forward strand.
AAAAATGCAGAATATTGGTCCTATCCCAGACCTACTGAATTATAATCTGCATTTTCACAAGGTCCTGGGGTATTCCTGTACACATTAAAGATTGAGAAGCACTGGGCTCAGGGCAATGCTAACGTAAGTACAGGGTACTGTGGGGCTATAAACAAGACAAAATATGCACATATTAGCTGGATAGGTGAAGTTGGTGCTCAGCTAAGGCTGGCTGTTGGGTATTCAGTCTGGGGAAGGAATATATGCAAAAGCACAGAGGCATGAAGCAGCATGGCACCTTCAAGACACTCTAAGGAACTCAATATTTCAGCATCAGATTGGGATTTCTGTAATCACTAAAGTGCTGTTGATAGCTGTCCTTTATATTCAAACATAATAATTCCTAAACATCACCTAAGTCCTTTTCTTTCCTTCTAAGATGCTTTTAGTGTGCACTACATAGATATAAACCTGCCTCTGAACTTCAAATTTACATATGTTTATTTTGTATAAATTACAAATGCATTTACTGATAGGGAATCTCCAACAGTAGAAGGTCAGATTAAAATTTATAATTTGTGGCTCATTTCCAACATGTTTGATATTGTTGAAAGAGAGAGTGAGAGAGAGGAAGAGAGGGAAGAAAGAACAAAGGAAAAGAAAAAAAGGAAAGAAAAAAGAAGAAAATGAGGCTGGACGTGATGGCTCACGCCTGTAATCCCAGCACTTTGGGAGGCTGAGGTGGGCAGATCACCTGAGGATGGGAGTTTGAGATCAGCCTAACCAACATGGAGAAACCCCATCTCTACTAAAAAATACAAAATTAGCTGTGCATGGTGGCGTATGCCTGTAATTCTAGCTACTCGGGAGGCTGAGGCAGGAGAATCGCTTGAACCCAGGAGGCAGGGGTTGCGGTGAGCCAAGATCACGCCATTGCACTCCAGCCTGGGCAACAAGAGAAAACTCCATCTCAAAAAAAAAAAAAAAAAAAAAAAAAAAGATGAAGAAAATGAAAGACAAGGCACAATTCTTTTTAGATTAACTTTCCCTGCATTTTGTGTAAAAAATGTCTTTCAAGCTTAAATATTATTCATGCCTGAGTTTCTGCTCTTCATGGGCACTTTTATCATTTGAATTTAACTCTTTTTACTCTCTTGATCTTTTATTGACTTCAGTTTTGTCATTTTCTACACAGTTTTAAGGATATTTTGCATTAGTTCAATATATTTAAATTTGTCCAATCTCAGATATGGCTCACAAAACCTTTATAATCTTCACTTGCCTAGTTTTCTAGGCTTACTCAATTTCCCCATGACTAGGCTGGAAATAAAAATATCTTTCTTTCCTAGAGAATGCCAATTACTCTGTTACATTCAGTCCTTTTGAAATACTTTTTCCTCTGCCTAGAGCTCCTTTATCCTCAGGAAAATCCTCACTCTTTAGTAGGAATAGTTGCTATGGATACTATCTATTTAGGACCTATTATAGGTACTCAGCAATTTTTATTAACTTTTTTAATTACTGGGAATGCAACAATATTAAGTGCACCTTAATCTTTGTCTCAGGCACAGTTGTTGTTGTTGTTGTTGTTGTTGTTTTGTTTTTGTTTTTGTTTTTTTGGGGAAACCCAAACTATGACATTTCCAATTTGCAAAACACATTCACATCAATATTATCATTTTAACTTCAAGCTATCTGAGGTTGTATATATCAATTATATTCAACCCTACTCTTAAGTACTCATTTATTATTAAACGATTTTAAATATTCATTCTTTCAAGATATTTATTGAGCAGCTACTATGTCCCAGGCTATAATCTGTCACTCTGCTCTCTTTGACACTTTGATGATGTCTGAGATTATTTGTTGCCTTTTACAGCCACAGGCTCCTAGATTTCATTGACCTTTATGAGAATCTCATCCAGCCTTTGACCCAACACAGAGAGCCCACCCAGAGCTCCTCAGCATGGTGTTAAGCAGAGGTCAGCTTCTGCTTAAACACTTTTAATTAAGGAGGAATCACTTCCTCACAATGCTGTTCTTTAGAATATACTTGATCATATGAAACTGAAATTTTCTTCATGTATCTACACCCACCAGTTCTAGTTCCACTCTCTGTTCCTTCACAAAATGCCTGCTGTCACTTCCAAATAAGTTCTAAGAATTACAGCATGTCAGTAATAAAGGAAACTTGAGGATCATCTCCCACACTTAATTCCTCATTTCAAAAATAAGAATAGTGAAGTGACTTGTCAATGACAAACTCACTTGAGTGAAATGCCTGCAATTAAAACTTCTCTAATTCTAGGCCAATGCTCTTTCTATAAGAGCATGCAGCCTCTCATTTACCTTGATTGATTTGCTCAATGTGCCAGCTAGCCACCTCTGCACACTTTGTGTCTCTGTGTGTGTGTGCTTGCATGTGTTCTTCCTGTTCTTTTCACCAATGATTCTTAGCTTTGACTAGACTTGTTAAATAAAGATTTATAACTTTAATGGCTTTATATGCCTGATAAAATGCTTGATTGTTTTCAATAAAAGTTGCTAAATTATTAAATTATTTTTAATGGAAGACCAACTAATCATTCATTCGACAAAAATATACTCAGTCCATACTATGTGTCAGGCATTAGTATTGCTATTCATCACGAAACTGATGGTCTCTGCTCCAGAGAAGCTCACAACAATCAATTTGAGGAAATACATACCTAGAGGTTAGGAGTGTGGACTCCAGTGTCAGATGGACTCGGAGAGAATCACAGCTCTCCCACTTATTCATTATAGAATCTTGGACATGTTAACTTCAGTAGATCTCTATTTTATAAGTAGTAAAATGAGGTTATGTAACATAGTGTTAATCTCAGTGTATTCTAATGATGATTAATGACTCAATAAATTGTAGCCATATTTATATGGTACCTAGTAACTACCCAAGAAGTTACAGTCATTATTATAGTTATTATAACTAATAAACATTCTGTTAATTTAACAAATGGTTATTATATTTCCTCTGACAGACTATGATATATGGTTGACAAGGGTATGAGCTGTTCATATTCCTTTCAAGGAAGGACTTGACCAGCTATGAAGAGTGTGATGAACACACAGCCTCCAGCTGCCAGCAACATCTGGGACTGTGAGTTAGCTAGAAGGAGCGGCTTTGCCCAAGGTCACACCCTTCCTTAGAGCAGCCCATGTATGACGACTAAGCAAAGCAAGGGTGTAAAGCTCCAGTCATCTAAGCCTAAGTCAGATCAACTCTCATTAATAATATCTACTGCAGCACTCCCTCTGCCTGATCTTGCTTCCTCACAGATGTTGTCAATCTCTAGTAAACACATCCCATCACAAACTTTATCTCCATCTCTTCTTCAGAGAACCCAACTTTTGACAGTACCGTGCGATAACCAAGAAGGTGGCTCTGGATCCTCTGTGCCCAACTCTGAATTCTGACCTCCACTCCCTGGGCTCTCTCAAATGTGTCACTTAGTCATATGTTGCCTTGGTTTCTTCACCTATAAAATGGAAATGACATTAATCTGTACCCCATAAAGTTGTGAAGATCAAGTGAATTAATCCATATTAAACACTTAAAAGAGTGCCTGGGATCATTAAGCATTCAGGAAATGTTAGGTGTTATTATTTCCAACATTACAGCATGCTAGGCCCTGCGCCACACCCTGGGAACACAGAGTAAAATCAGGTATGGCCCTTGCCCATGAAGGAGTAAGTACCATGGGAAATGTGTGTGTCAATGAGAAAGAGATGCTATGATTGTAGAGAGAGTTATGTTATTTGAAATTCCGAAATCAGGATACAAAATCCTCCTGATGTTAGGACACATATGGGAAGAGCTAGCCAGGGACTACTTCATAAAGAAGGTGACTCCCATGTAACTGCACAAAGATTGAGCAGAGGTTTGAAATGAGATTAGAGTCAGGCCATGATAGTCAACCTACCTCATCTTCTACCCTCAATAATGGTAGACACTAATAACAACCCACATTACTGTCCCAACGACACGTGAAGGATTTCTACTTCCATTCTCTTTCGGTCAGCTTTTTGTTTGTTTGTTTGTTTTTGAGGCAGAGTCTCACTCTGTCGCCCAGGCTTGAGTGCAGTGGCTCTATCTTGGCTCATTGCAAGCTCCGCCTCCCAGGTTCAGGCCATTCTCCTGCTTCAGCCTCCCAACTAGCTGGGACTATAGGCGCCCGCCGCGGCACTCGGCTAATTTTTTGTATTTTTAGGAGAGACGGGGTTTCACCGTCTTAGCCAGGATGATCTCGATCTCCTGACCTCATGATCCGCCCGCCTTGGCCTCCCAAAGTGCTGGGATTACAGGCCTGAGCCACTGCGCCCGGCTCAGTCAGCTTCTTAACATCCACTTAAAGGCAATGCTCTAAAAGCCCAACGATAGTGTAACTCCAAAGTCAGGTGAAACCCAGCCACCAAGTTTGCCCCCACAAAAAGCAAAACAAAAAAGTGTTAAGTCAATTGGATTACTGAGTTTCACTCAGGAAATACAAGAGTTATTTCACCTGAATTAATCACAAGGCTTATTGCATCCTGAGGACGACAGACAAGAGTTTCTCTCATTCACAAGCTTCACTGACAAGGACAGCTAAAAAATGAATGTATATAGCATCAGTCTCTCTGAGCTCTTTTTTTCCCTCATAAATTTTATTTATAACATAAATAAGACAAAGTTTGTTACTTGTGCCTATAACCCACTCAGAGAGAGGAGAGTGATTTTTACATTTGATGACCATCTACTTGACTTATGTACTTTATTAAAACAAGCAATGTGAGCATATTTTCCAAATATTCATGGGAAATTATGGGAACTGTAAGTTACATTAAACATCAACTTGCTTAGTATTGACCCTATTGCATAAAAACAAATGATATGCTCAACTTTAAGTGTGCCTCTGTTTAAAGAATTGAATGAGGAAGGAAAATATGAGGAAGGAAGAAAATATGTTCATTCTATCCTCACTACAACTTCCATGAAATAGAGAAATTACTATTCTCATTTTACATAGGAGAAGTATGAGGCTCATAGGCAACAGAGGAGGATAAATGAGCAATGGTCAACAAAAGCATGGCCAAAACAAACACATTTTTTTAAAAAGTGCTCTTCTATGATAGCCATGTAGTCATGTTGTAATGGAAGAGTTCAGGCCTTGGAACCCAAAAGACCAAAGTTCAAATTGTAGGTCTGCCGTCTATTGTATGTATGACCTTGGGCATATTTTTGAACTTATTTTTGCTTCAATCACCTCAGCTGTAAAATGGCACAGTAACACCTATCTCTTGAATTTGTTGTGAGAATTAAATGAGATGTAGTATTCAGTGGATGTTCAATAATGATTAGTCCTTTTCTGCTTACTCACCATATTCCATGGTTCTTTCACTCTACTTGCAAGTGAAGGTTTTCTAGGGTCTATATCAAATCTAGATCCCCATGTTAACTCAAGCATTAGGGAGAAGAATGAATCAGTCAGATACATAGTCCAACCATCCCAGAGCCCTAACTCTGCCTTCCTGCCCACTCTGATACCACACAAAAACCATAACTTTGTTCATTACTAACAGCTTCCTTATTCTAACTCAGTCTGTGTCAAAATCTGGAGTTTCTAGAATCTTGGCAGTGGTGAGATCTTCTTACACATTAGCACAGGGCTTTTCCAACACTTCTACATAATACTCATTCCACAGAGTATTCACTAGTCAATACCAAATATAATATGTCCATTTTAAAGTGACCCAATGTCCATCTGCATATTAAGTGAACCAAGAACACCTGCAGCAGAGCACATCCTTAATTTTGTTCTGTCTACCATTTCCAGGTACTGACTATAGTTCCCTTTTGCAGAAGACCTAAAAATATTTTGTGGGACCAATGCACTGCAAAACACAAGTTCAGTGGTGTGGCCTTCATAGTAACAACTAGGACATGGAGATGGCTTCTAATCTACCTAGACTCTTGCTAAAACTGTAAGTTCTAGAATGCTGGTGGTTGTAGGGCACTAACCATCATGTAATCCAACTCTTTCATATTACCCACAGGTAATGTGAGGCTGAGAGATGGTAAGTTACTTTCCCAAAATCAGCCAGTAAGTTGGTGGGCAATGTCCGATTTCAACCCCATCCCCTGAACCCCATGTCAATATTCTCTGTGCAAGCACAGTACCTTTTCTATTTTCAGATTAGGCTACTGATTGAAGTAAGAGGATTTGCCTAGTGTGTTCATTCATTGATTCTTTCATTCATTTACAAATACTCATTGAGCACTTCTTGTGTGAAAGAAAATATACTAAGTGTTAAAGACAAAAAAGCTCTTATCTCTCCCTTTCAGGAGTCCATATTGTAGTGCAAATTAAGGTACACAAATATCAAATAGACAACACAATCTTGCTTTGCTCTCAGGGAGGTATGTACAACAAAGTAGGAAAATGGGGAAGGAAAAGGAGACCTCCTAGAAGAGAAAGATTCTAGAAGAAAAAGGAAGGCATCTACCATGTGAATAAGGTCTGGGGTGGAGGATTGATGAAGACATCCTGGAAAGATCAGGACTGTGTGAAGGCACAAAGTCTTGGGACAGAATGGGGAGCTTGGAGATTTTCCAATATGCCTTGCTTCAGGGCAACTGAGTGCAGAGAGGAAGGTTTATGGTGCTCTTAAACTTTGTGATCTGCCACTTCCCTTCCTATCTTTATTTACTATAATTCACCCATTTACTCATCATTTATTCGGCAAATGCTGATTCATATTTAGTATGGGTTCTGGACATGTGGGATAAATCCACAGGTCGTTTTCAATAAAACCTGCCCCCAAATCTCTACTCTTCTCTTCTACACACACACACACACACACACACACACACACACAGAGGCACACACACGCACACACACACACACAAATTTTCTTGTTCTTGGTTTACTGAGCACAGTAGAGGACAGTTAACTATCCTGAGTATAAGAGTGTCTCCACCAATTAAAACTCTCCATGGCCTGATAAAACTCTCCATTGGCTTTTAAAATGACCTGCCATCCTGGCTCCAGGCAGTTCTCACAGTTCATAACTCCCCGCAGCTGCCTGCTCTTTCCTGGGACCTTTCCAGGGTAATAACTGCTATTTTCCTACTCCATGAATGTGAGAGTGAGTTCAGTCCCTATCCACAGTGCCCACTGGATACTGCAGTATACCAGAGGCATTTAAAGGCAGTCAGTATACCCGCCTTTAAGTCTCAAAGGCAGGTCATCTACTAAGGAATTGGGCCTGAGGTGTAAGAAGCTAAGGCTTCCTACATTTAAAGAAATCACATCTATCTTGAGACAATAGCTCTTCATTTTTCTCATAAGAATTTCCTTTGGGAAGACAAAATATGATGTTCCAGCAAAGCACTGAGCTTGAAAATAAAAAAAAAAATTAACCCTGACATTGAATAACTTATCTTTTACCTTTCCGAAGCTCTATTTACAGTATCAGTAAAACGGATATAGTAGTATCTACTCCATAGGGTTATTAGTAGTTAAAGAAGGTAGCATGGGTAAAGTACCTGATACATGACAGGTGGTCAGCGACTATTCTAGATCTTACTTTGGTTTCAACCGTGCACTGTATACTTTCTGAGAAATTGTGAGGTCTCAAGTTTCCAAAGGCAACCGAGGACAAAATTCTCCAAAAGAAAATGTAATAATTGGCTTCTTTGACTATTTCCTTGAAATAGTAACTAATTAATGTACCTGACAGCTAGATGTTACACTTTTTGTGGCTCAAATTACAAATGGTCTTTACTTATGGAAAATTCCACTTTTAATTCCTAACTTATTAATGAAGCCAAAATGGATTTTTGTGGTTATCCGTTTGAAAGTTCCACTTTGTACAAATAGCCATGTGTCCCTGGGTTGGTAAATTAAACTATTTGACTCTTAATTTTCTCAATTTTATCAAGTATTAACAATAATTACAAATGTCATAGAAATATCATGAAGAATTAATGAGATAAATGTCCATAAAGCACAATCTTTCTCTATATTATTTTTCTAGCAATTAAAAATGAAAAAATAAAAACCATCACTGCCTACCATCAGTTGGATAATGTTCAGAAAAAACAACAAAAGAAAGAAAAAGAAGAAGAAAACAAACATAAAAAGTTAGCTGTAAAATAAAGAAACATTCATTATGAATTTATTACTCCAACTACTGTAAACTGTGTAGGAATCTGAGCTGCAAAGCTACCCATTAAACTGTCTGCTCTTTCCTGTTTAAACAAGGCCCCTCTTGGGTCGTGGCTGCCTGAGCCTTCGTGGGTCTGCATCCAGGAAGGAAGACGTTTCTACGGTAACCGCTGAGGCCTTCTCTGGAGGTTCTCTGGGAGAGGCCAGAGTCTGGTGCAAGTGACAAACCCCAGTTCCCTTGATAATGTACAGAAAGGTAGCAGCCATGATGTCCAGGCATGAGCAGAATGAGAGCATTCAGGCGTGAAATCTCTTTCAATTGGTCGTTTGTTTCCCCGATGGAGAATTCACTTTGTGCCACTCTTTTGAAAAATGGCTGATCTAGGCTTACTGGTGTATAAATAATAAATGTTCCAGAAGGAAAGATATTGTGATTTGGGAAGGGGGGGGTCATTAGCCTCCCGTCATAATTTGGTTCAAGTTTTTAGAAAGCTTGAAGTTGCAAGAAACCATAAAGAGTTGCCCAATAGCCTCATTTTATAAATTGATAAATAATTCATAGGAAGAGGAGAGGGGGTGGAGAAGATAAGCTGAAGTCATAGATTGAGGTGGTTGATATGAAAACATATCCTAAGCTCCTGATTAATAAGGCTTGAATTGTAAAATCTGGCTGTTACAATAGAATGTGGAAAGTGCTATGATGGAGGGTTGGACAAAAAGCAGTGAGAACATTAAAGAGGAGTGTTTGAGGCCACCAGTTACGAAGAAGAGAGAGAGCTGAGCTGAGAATCAAGAATGAGTAAACGTTGCTATCATTTATTAGCATTACAATGTGTTAAACACTTTATATGCATTGTCTCATTTAATCTTCACAACACCTTCTCAGATAAGTAGAATACCACTACCCATTGGTTTTTTTTGTTTATAAGACAGAGAAATAGGTGTAGAGAGATGAGTCACTTTCCACACAGCTAGGAGACGGCAAGGTCAGGATTCAAACCCAAGACAGTTTGATTCCTAAGCCCATGCTCTTTATTGACTATTGGTCTGCTGCCTTCCATAAAATGTGCAAGAGCTTCGTATGTGGGGTGAAGTTGGGAACAGTGTTCTGGGCAGAAAAAAACAGCACAGGCAAATGCACAGCTATACAATGTATGCTGTCTCCATCTATCAATGCTTAGTGGCCTTCCTAATCTCCCATAGCCTAATCTGTGGGAGACAAGCCTCGGCACTCCTTCTGAATCCTAAGAACCTGGCTCTGTCCAGAGAGAGACAATGTGCAGCTTGCCCAGTGATAAAATCCCTCACACATTTGGTGGCCTGGACCAACTACATCCTCCATGGAACCTGGAGTAGTAAAATCCATGATGAACCATTCTTTCTTTTACAGCTCACTTTTACAGTCTCTGGGTTTCTGGAGCCTTTAATCATTTGGATCTCTTTTCATTCTGAACACTTAGAGTATAAAGAATTTAAGTCTCAGCTTCTTTCCACAGAGACATGTTGGTCATTGGTGCATATAGCCAAAGTGGTTCCAGTTCAGTAAACAGTCTTTCATGACAAATCCATGGTTGGAGTTGGTGGAAAATTTGCCTGCTTATTAGGAGGCTACAACAGTTCCAAACAGAGTGAAAAATGAAGAAGATCATCTAGATGCCAAGGCCCAGTTGGCTATGTATGGGTAAAAACTATCTGGGTTACAGCAGTCATAGTTGAATGCTTGTTCTACAGGCAACGTGTTACATATAGTATGTCATAACTTCACTACCATTTCTCTTTACCATTGTACAGAGACAAAACTGAATTTCAGATCAGAAAAGTTACATTGCTTTCCTATCATACCAAGAATAAGTGGTCAAGCCAGAATTCCTACCCAGACTCTCTGATCCTCAAACCTCCATTCTTTCCCCATCACCTCAAAACTGTCAATCCAATGGTCAGTTAGAATTACCATAATTTGGGAGGCGGAGGTTGCAGTGAGCCAAGATCATGCCACTGCACTCCAGCCTGACAACAGAGCGAGAATCCATCAAAAAAAAAAAAAAAAAAAAAGAATTACCTTATTTTTGCCACCATTTTGTCTTGTGTTCCACAAAAGCCTATTGTTTTTTGTTTTGCCCACATTTTGGCAGGCAGCATGGGGCAGTGGCAAGTACCTTCTGTGCCACAGGCCCTATGCTAGTTCTACAGAATTCAGAGATTCCTTTGTTCTATAGGTTAGTCAGTCAATGAATATGTTCAAGGACCAACTATGTGCAAGGTGCTGATGCCAAAGGGGTGAGCGAAAACCAGAGACTGACCTTCGTGAGAGACCCTCACACAGTAATGAGTTTTAACCATTAGTGGGTAAAATGGGTGGTGGAGAGGGGTGCTGGTATTTTCATTGAAGTCAAAGAAAGTTTCCTGAAGAAGTATTAACTAGGCAACTGTGGGAGATAAGCTGGGGAAAAATAGGAGAGAAAGACAGAAGTAAAGCAGGTAACTAATCATAGAGTATGGTTCAGTGGCATGATAGGGTAAAACACTGCAATGGAAGAAGAGAGAAAGGGCGGCTTACCTAGCCTGAGGGTGGAAGGTGGTCAGAGAACACTTTCTAGAAGAAGAATATTTGAGCGGACAACAGAGGGATGCAAAAGAATTTGATGGATGAAGGATTGACTAGTGCACAGAGAAGAAATTAAACATGCAAAGATCCAGAGATGAGAGAGAACATGATATGTTTGGGAAACTGCAAGCACTTGTATGTGTTATGGGGACTAGGGGGTAAAGGAAAGACCAAGACAAAGTGGGAATGTTAAAGGGAGTGGAATTGGTAATAAAAAATAATACTACTGAGGAACATTATTCTGATGACAAACCCTCATGTAGGTCAGAGTGGAAGATTTGTTCTGATGTGACTACGTTGTCACAGAAGGGAAGAGAAGTGAAAAGGAGAGGGAAAAGGCGCTAATATTTGTTGAAAATATCTGGGTGCCAGATATTTTCAGGTAGAACTCCATTCTACAGAGGAAGAAACTATGGTACCAGAAGGTGAAGGAATCTGTCTGAGGTCACACATCTAGTAAGCAGTGTGCCAGCATCCAAACTCTATTCTTTCTGCCTGATTTCTGGAATCATCTTGTGCCTCTATTTCCAAGGACTTTCTAGTCCCACCAGAAGTAAATAATCAAGACTGGCAAACAATAATTGCATTAATCCAGACTCTTATCTGTAAATGACAAGAGCTCAACTTCTTGTTGAGGTTCAGGAAAAAATGAAGAGGTCAAAGGGAGAGCTTATGGTAGATATGTCAGAATTGACCAATATAATGAAGGAAATCTTGAGCACTCAGGCATAAGAAAGGCAGGAATCCACCTGGCCCTCAGGAACGATGCCTGCTAAGACCCTCTGCCCTTCTTGTCTAACTCTCTGCCCATGGACTCTTTCTTGTTCCATGTGGTGGGAGCTTGGTTGCCCTCAGTTCTGGAGCCTTATGCTTCACAGCTACAGAGAGACCCATTCTCTCCTTTGGGCTTGAAATCCAAGGGAAAACCTCTGATTAGCTCAGTGTGGGTCACGTGTTTACCCATCACTGCATCAGCTATGAGTAGGAACACAAGCTACTGGGGGGCTCACCCCATCCGTGCATATTGAGGGTCAGTCTCCAAAATTCTTTGTGAGTCAAAAGCCACTCCAGAGGGTATCCACTTAATTAATAACAGTAGTCACCATTTGTGGGAGATTACAAATGCCCCAGACCCTGAACTGAGAAAGCGTGTTAGTTCTATCACTGCCTCATTTGATTTTCTCAACAAGCACGAGAGGTAGTGCTCATCTCCAGTTCATAGATACGGAAACTGAGACTCATAAAACCCAATTAATTTGCTCAAGGTCCCACAGTAAGTAAGTGGTAGATGCAGATGTAAATCCTGGACACTGATTCCAAAGCCTTGTGCTTAATTCCCATACTTAACTATTCTCTACTTCCTGTGACTGCCGCCTTAGGCCTCAGCCTCCATGAGAAGCAAAGTAACAGTGGCTATAACCTGGAAGTCCTGGGATCTACCTCTGACACTGGTAAGCTGTGTGGCCTTGGACAAGACCCCTAATCTCTCTGTGCATTGGTGTTTTTGGTTTTTTGTTTTGTTTTGTTTTGTTTTTGAGATGGAGTCTCGCTCTGTCGCCCAGGCTGGAGTGCAGTGGTGCAATCTCGGTACACTGCAACCTCCACCTCCCGGGTTCAAGCAATTCTCCTGTCTCAGTCTCCCGAACATGCCACCATACCCAGCTAATTTTTGTATTTTTAGTAGAAAGGGGGTTTCGCCATGTTGTCCAGGCTGGTCTCAAACTCCTGACCTTAGGTGATCCACCTACCTCAGCCTCCCAAAGTGTGTGCATCAGTTTTACTGTGTGCAAAGTGAGAAAAATACCTTCTGCCTTGTCTACTTTTCTGATAATGAGATTAAGACAAGTAAAAGTGCTTTAAGAAAAACTCCATGCAAAACAAAGGTGAGCTATTATTATTTTCTCTCATATAATTCTAGCGTGCCATGATTTTGAGACTTTCTATATTTAAATAAAATCTGTCCTTTGAAATAATATGTTTGGAAGAGCCAATAAGGCAGACAGACAAATACTTTAGGCTATTTTTTTAGAACTCAGATTGACAGAATTTAACTGAGGAAACAGGAACAGAGTTAATTTATCCTGGATTCCAGTATTGGGCTCTTCTTGGTTTTTTAAAACAGACATAAACATTGTTCTTCTGAATTCATTTTGTGCTGACACCACCTGGTCTCTGCTTATTTTTTCATTTCACCCAGTTCAGTGATACTGAATTATAATTGGTTTATGCTGAACTTTCTCATGCTGTGAAGTACTGATTAACAAAGAAAATAAAGTTTTTCTTTCATTTGGCCAAGTTCTACCCTACTGCCATGTCTCAGATAGCACTTTTTAAAGAAATTAAGGTTCTGTGGAATAATCTCCATCCTTAGGAAATAACTGCAAGGGTCATGAAAAGTCTCTGTCAGCCAACATTTTGTTTATAGCCCATCAGCTACAAATTTGCCCAAACTAGGAACTGTGGCATCGTCTTTCTAAACCACACATGCAATCAGGCAGTAGACCGGGTGATGGACTTCCTTGGAATGTCTCCAGCCTGTGTCTTCGTCTCCATCAATATGTCATAGCCTTAGCCCAGGCCTCCAGGAGAGTTTAAACAGCCTCTTAACAGTCCTTCACCTCCATACTGTTTTCAGGATGATTATCTTAAAACACTGATATAACCATGTCAGCCATGCTTATAAAATCTCTGTGGCTGCTATCTGCTAGACAATAGAGTCCCAGTTACTTACTGGTACTCTCTGTAATTTAGCTTCTGCATATCCTTCTAATATGACATTGCCACTTTCACCCATCTTACCACCAGGATCCATCCTCCTCTATCATCATAACCATGATACTAACATCATAGCCAAATTTTAGGGAGGACCCTCTACATACCTCCTACATAAAAGTTTTTCACAAGTTCTCAGAAACTTCCTATGAGATATTTTTACCTTTATTATACTGAGATTCAGAAAGTTAAGAAACCTGTTCAGGATCACAGAGCTGACCACAAAGGTGACAGAGTTAAGACCCAAACCCAGGTCTATTTGACTCCCAAACTTTGCTCTGCCACATGGACATTCTGAAATCCTGGTAGTTTCCTGAATGAGCCGTGCTCTTTTTACTTCACCATTGTCTTGGCAAGTGCTTTTCTCTGCTTTTAATACCCTGCCCCTTCTTAGACAGCTGCCTAACTGCTCCTTTCCCAAGGATTTGGCTCCTATGTCACCTCCTTTGTGAACATTCCATGACATCATAAGCAAAACTGCACTCTGTGTGTGTGTGTGTGTGTGTGTGTGTGTGTGTGTGTGTGTGCGCGCACTCAGGGAATAGAATTGAGTACATACTCTGGGAAAGTGAGTTGCTTGGTTTGCTGGTACAAATGGGACATGCAGGGGAATCATGGGGAACTAGGTTGGGAAAGTAGCTTGGGCTGGATCATGGAGGCTGCTGGTCTACCAGCGGCTCCTGAGGCAAGGAGGTGTTTCCAAGACAAAATCTTGCCACAGGGTCTAAGAAGGAGGAGGACAAGGAGAATAACAGCAGAGAGATTTGAAGAAAGCTATTGCAATCAGCCAGGTGGGAGATAATGAGATACTGAATAGGACTCACCATCAAGAGAATGGAGGAGAAGGGCCAGACTTAGTGACTGAGTGTCAGAGTAGGTGAGTGAAAAGGAGAATCTGCCCATAAGAATACCAAGACTGTGAACTTGAGTGCCAGAGAGTGGACATGTTCTCAAAGACAGAGAAAGAGCAGGTTTAAGGGTAAAGACAAGTGATAGGTTAAGATATGTTAAGACATTAATGGGACTTCTAAAGGCCTTTCTTGGACAACGTAGATGGGCCACTGTTGGAACTGCCATTTTAGAAGTCATCCACATAGATATAAGAGCAGAAGCCAGAAGAAAGTATAATACAGGGGAAATCATCAAGAGAGAGGAGGACAGGGCTAAGGAGAGCTCCTTAGAGATACATTTGGAGAAAAGAATCAGGAAGAAATAAAGAAAAGGTATGAAAGGAAGCTAATGATGTGTTGTGCTGTGTTACCTTGAGAAGTTACTTAACTTCTCTGGGCCTCCATTTAAATGTTAAATTGCAATACTAATTACTATCTTGCAGAATGATGAAAGGATTGGAGATAAGTTATGTGAAACAACCAGCACCTGGCTTAGTATTCAGCAGGATTTCAGTAAACCGTCACCTTAATGATTAGTAGTGGTATATTTGTTGGTGAAAGATGCTCAGGATCACAGACCTCGAATGGGGGCAGTCCTGAGCCATGTGGTGGGAATACTGGGTTATCTGTTGGGATTACTGGCTTCATTTATTTTAGCAAACATAAAAGGAAGACCAGAAGGTCAAATTCCACTGCCATTAGTGTCTAGAAGACTAGTCCAAAAGAGCAGAAGAGTCTATCAGGTGCTGGTCAAAGCCAAACTATGTTTTCCTGCAGACTAGATGCCATCAAACCAGAATCTGTGCTCAGCCCAGCATCTGGAAAAGCTCAGAAGAAGGAAAAGTCCACAGGAGAGGTGGCTGGGACCAAGTTACATAGGACAGGCTAGAGCAGGGAGATAAGAGGTCATTCACCAGCTCTGTACTCTAGGTACTCCAGGAATTCAGCCTCTTCTAGCAGAGAAAGCCCAGGACCTGCAGAAAGATGGTTAGAGAGAAAGTTTTATCAGGTGGTATGTAAAAAGAGCACCAGCTTTTTGAGCCAGAAAAACCTGTATTCAAACTTTAGTGATGTCACTCATGGGACTTTTTGTGTTAGGGGGGAAATCGCTTACTCTCAGCCTGTTTCTCCATATGAAAATGGGACAAACAATAATTTTTTTCTTTACATGTTTTTTTGAGAATTAAATAAGATATGCAAAATGCTTGAATCATCCACGTAGATATCAATACATGGTGGTTTTGTTTCCTTTTGTAGGGCCAATTACACACCAAAGCCCACTCAGTTATAAAGATCTTCATGGTCTTAGCTATTTTTCCCAGACCACGAATGCCTGAGAGAGAGAACTACAGTCTGTGAGATACAAAAAAAATTGGCCAAAGCGGGTAGGTATTTGAGAAAATTGGGAGTCAGGCTCCAAAGTGGCTGTTAGCCCAGAAGATGGTCTGTTCTCTCACTTAATATCACGAAGGCTCGCCTATTGCATTTGTGAGCATTAAATTGAAGGCAGTTAGTTATAGGAGAGATGCTCCTCATGGGC
The DNA here is from genome assembly GCF_000001405.40 of Homo sapiens. NCBI lineage: Eukaryota > Metazoa > Chordata > Mammalia > Primates > Hominidae > Homo > Homo sapiens. Next base: position 56,237,001 of record NC_000001.11, read on the forward strand.
ACCAGCAGTTAGGACCCAAAAGAGACAATAATAATGGCTGCCATTTATTGACTACTGCTTTAAATATATTACCTCTACATATGGTAGACAACACGATCATCTTTTTACAGAAAGGACAACTGTGACTCAGAGAGATTAAGTGATTTTTCTCAAAGTCGCCCAGCTCACATACAGCACAGCAGAATTGATACCCAAGTTGGATCTGTAGCCTGCACTCCTTTTAAATCTCTTGCTATCTTCCTGTAGGTAGGACAATGAATGAGACATGCCATGGTGGCGGAAAGTCTTCACCTTGGGGTGAAACTCAAAGTAATTGTAGATGGAGAGATTGAGGAAGAAATAGAACTAGACCGGGAGGCAGGAAACTGAATGGGTTTTGGTATTTCTCTTACCTAAGCCTCCTCGTCTATAAAATGGGGTTAATAACCCACACCCTGCCAACTATCTGGAGTTTCGGGGTGGATCAAGTGGGATTTTATATCTGAAACCACTTTGCAAATTAAGTCCCATATAAATATGTTATTAATTGGTATATTAATTAAATTATTAAATCTCAGTTATAATAATGAAACTTAGAAATTACTGTTAATTAGCATTAATCAAAATGTATGTTGGTGGTAATTATACTAATTAAAATTCTTGATAATAATGATAATTAGCACTGATACTGAGAAGTGGTCTGCCAAGCATGGACTAGCGTGAAACTGTAGAGTAAACATCCCAAATGAAAGTTGGCCGAAAGATACAGAAGCAAGCTAATGAACCTAGCTGAAACTGAACAAGAGAAACACATTAGCCTTGCTTTCCTGGTCTGAGAGTTCTGCTGTGCTGAGGTGAAAAAGATTAATAAATACCAAAACCACCCATTATTGTACAAGCACATGAGTTGCAATTGTCCTTGTGGTTGTCTGTTTATGTATCTCTCTGTGTAGTAACACTTTGCTAGTAAGTTTCAGCATATTGAACTGTTCCTGATTCCACGACCGTGCCATTCTCTAACATGCCACCTGCCCATCACACTGCCCATGGCTCCTGACAAACCCAAGATCCTTCATGTCCTAATCCATGTAAACTATCTTCAATGAAGCCTTTCCAGACTTTTCCTGAGAAACTAGGAATCCTCTTCTTTGTGTTCCTGTTCACCTTCTACAAGATTTTACTATCAAACTTACTATCTCAGCTCTATCACATACAAGTTGTGTGTAAGAAGTTCCTTACTTAAAATACGTTTATGCTTCAGTTGTCTCATCTATAAAATGAGGATACTAGCAGTGCAGGCCTTATACAATTGTCTTGATAATTCAATCAGATATGTAAGACTTTCAGAACAGGATTAGACATACAGCATTCAATTAATGTTAACTATTACTATTATTATTGTTGTTGTTGTTGTCCTAAGGATGTGTCTCCATATCTATTGCTCTGCCAGGCTGTGAGCTCCTCCATTTTGTGTTCTTATGATTTTTGCTTATGTCTTTCATGTTATTAAAATGGAAATGGATAGAGGATTTTCTCAGGAGACTTTATAGGCAAGAATAAAGGCAAGGTAGTGGAAAAATTGTTGACCGTGAAATCAGAAGATTTGGTTTAATCTTGCCTCTTCTAGTTGCTTAGTCACTGGCTTTGTGCAAGTCACTTTTTCTTATAGGACTCAGTTTCCTCATCTAGAAAAACGGAAGTGATGACCCCTAGCCTACCTTCCTGACAGGCTCCATTGTGAGGTTGGAATGAAGACACAGATGTGAAACCGCGTTGTAAACTGAAAGGCACTAATCAAATATAAGATACTTTTATTATTATTTGAACCATCTGGAAGTTGTTTGGACTTACAAATTGATAGAATCAGTCAACACTTACTTGATTTACACAGAGAGTTGTTGTTATGCTTGGGTATTTTTTTAAGCCCTTAACACTATGCACATTGCAAGCCTTTCCTCATATTCACCCCCAATTTGGTAATTTTCAAGTTTTTGTTTCCAAAGATTGAATGATGATAGGAGTTAAAAGTAGAGCCCAGGTTGAAACTTTACTAAAGATGTTCAGTTTCTATTTTCCTTAACAAAGTTTTTAGAGCCCCAGCTAATAGCTAGTTATTAAATGCAGCTCAGTTCATAGGGTTTCTTGATGTGCTGGGAAGCCTCAGAGGTTGCTGTGAGATAACAGAGTTTAGATTAAGATGGCCAGTAAATTTGGGAAAGAGAAAGGAAAATATAAATGGCAAGAACACTGAATTAGGAGTTAAAATTCCTAAACTCTTATCTTGTCCTACAGCCCTGTAGGTTGGATGTATCCCCTATCTGGGCCTTATTTTTCTCATCCGTAAAATGTAGATAACATCCTTCCATTTCATTAGCCTTTACTGCACACCAAATCACCCCAAATCTTAGTAACTTGAAATATCAGGAGTTTATGTCTTACAGTTCTGTGTTGGTTGGGCGGTTCTGGTGATTTTGCCTGGGCCCATTCATGGAGCAGCACTTAACTGGTGGGTCATTTGAGATCTAGGCTCAAGGGACACAGCTAAGATTCTGAGCATCTATATTTGTATAGTGTCTTCTATACTCAAGGAGTGAGACTGGGCCTTTTTACATGACAGTGATGTTCCAAGAGGGGGAAACCAGAAAATATATAGTCTCTTGTACCATAGCCTCACACAGTATCAATTCTTCCATATTCTATTGGTCAAAACAAGTTACACAGCCAGCCCAGAATCAAGGACAAGGAAAAGAGAATCCACCCCAACCGTTTGATGGGAGGAAGGCAAAATCAAACTGCAAAAAGGAACATGGTCACAGAGAAACATGATTCTCTGGAGGGCCATTTTGTAGCAGCCTAATACACATCTGTCCTACCTTAAGGGTTATTTACAAGCAGATAAGCTAATATGTTTAAAGTCACTTTGTAGAATATATGAGAATATAAAGGAAAAAAATTCCAGACAAGTGATAGAATTAGAATATTACCATTTTGCAGCCCACAATGAATTAAGGCTTTAAGCATCAATGGCTGCTAACATCACGAAAAACAAGTAGAGATTATGTACCTACTGAGGAGGAACACAGTGCCACCTATAAAGTTGTCTTGTTAAAATAAAAAAATTAAACCTGAATCTGATCAAACCTCTAGTTACAACTAGTAATTTTCAGGAACTACAGAAAACAGAAGAACATGTTAAACTGTACCACAGAGGTACAATCAGCAAAACCCAGAATGGCAAACACTACAGGCAAACAACCTGTTTTGTTTTTTTTTCCAACAAATAAATTACAAAAGGAAGAAAACAAGTTGGAGAAGAAACATATACATTAAAATTACGATGTGGGGAACTTACTGGATCCTGATTCAAATGAACTATTTAAAAAATTATGACATTCTGAGACCACTATAAATTTTTAGATGTCCTGCATCCTTGATGATATTAAAGAATCATTGCTAATGTTAGACATAAAATGGTATTATGAGTATATATTTTTACATACCCCTTATCTTTTAGTGTACGTATTGAAATATTTACCTGTGTAATTATATTACAGCTGAGATTTATTAGTATGAAGTGGCAGTAAGTAGATGGGGGTATAGATAGAGAAAGAGTGCCCAGGAGCTGGTAACTATTAAAGCCACATGATGAATATGTGGGAATTCATTATACAATTTTAGCTGCTTTGGTATGTTTGAAATTCTCCATAATAAGTTTTTATTTTTCAAAAAAGAGTGAAATACCAAACTAATTTTTAGGAACTACAGAAGACAGAAGAACATTTTAACTGTACCACAGAGGTATAATCAGTGAAATCCAGACTGGGAAACACTACAGGAAAACAACCTATTATGAGAAAACTACAGACCAATATCTTTCATGAATATAGATGTATAAGTCCTCAACAAAATATTAGCAAATGGAATACAACAATGTATAAAAAGAGTTATACACTGTAACCACGTGAGATTTTTCTTCCCCAGGAATGCAAGCCTGATTCAACATTCAAAATTCAATTAATATTGGCCAGGCATGGTGACTCATGCCTGTAATCCCAACACATTGGGAAGCTGAGGGAGGAGGATTACCTGAGCCCAAATCAACCTGCACAACAAAGTGAGACCCAGTATCTACAAAAAATCTTTTTAATTAGCTAGGTGTGGTGGTATGTGCCTGTAGTCCTAGCTACTCAGGGGACGGAGGCAGGAGGGTCACTTGAGCAGAGGAGGTCAAGGCTGCAGTGATTTATGATTGAGCCACTGCACTCCATATTGGGTGACAAAGTGAGACCGTGTCTCAAAAAAAAAAAAAATTAATGTAATCATCACATCAACAGGCCCAATAGAAAAATTACTTGACCAAATCAATAGATGCAGAAAAGCATTTGATAAAACCCAATACCCATTCATGACAAAAACTCTCAGTAAGCTAGGAATAGAGAAGAACCTCCTCAACTTGATAAATAATATCTATTAAAATAAACTATAGCTAATATCATACTTAATAGTGAGAATGTAGAAATTTTTCCACTAAGATCAGAAATGAGGCAAGAATGTCCCCTCTCACCACTCCTTTTAACATCATAATGAGAGCCCTAGCTAATGCAATAAGACAAGAAAAGGAAATAAAAGGCAGATTGGATGGAAGAAATAAAACTGGTTTTGTTGGCAGATAACATAATTGTCTATATAAAAAACCTGAAAGAACTGGCAAAATAAACCGGAACTAATAAAAAATTATAACAAGTTTGCAGGATACAAGGTTGATATGCAAAAGCCAATTGCTTTCCTATAGACCAGCAATGAACAAGTGGAATTTGAAATTAAAAACACAATACCACTTTCATTAGCACTCCTAAAAATGAAATACTTAGGTATAAATCTAATGAAATGTGGATTTTATAGCTTTCCTCATATAAATTAATTGTAACAAATGTACCACTATAATGACAGATGTTGATAATGGGGGAGGCTATGCATGTGTTGGTTCAGGGACTATATGGGAAATCTTTGCACTCTCCTCTCAATTTTGCTATGAACCTAAAACTTCTCTAAAAAATTGTCTTCACAATATTTTTTTTATTTTTTGTAGAGGCAGGATCTTACTATGTTGCCCAGGCTGGTCTTGAATTCCTGGCTTCAAGCAATCCTCCCAACTCATCCTCCCAAAGTGCTACGATTACAGGTGTGAGCCACAGTGCCCAGCCAAGAGAAAGGGTTTTTTAATTGTTCTCACCACAAAGAAATGATAAATATTTGAGGTCATGGATCTATTAATTAGCCTGATTGGATTATACCACAGTGTATACACGTAATGAAACATCACATAGTGTCCCATAAATATATGCAATTATTATTTGTCTTTTTTTTTTTTTTTGAGACGGAGTCTCGCTCTGTTGCCTGGGCTGGAGTACAGTGGTATGATCTCAGCTCACTGCAACCTCCACCTCCTGGGTTCAAGCGATTCTCCTGCCTCAGCCTCCTGAGTAGCTGGGATTACAGGCACCCGTCACTATGCCCAGCTAATTTTTTGTATTTTTAGTGGAGACGGGGTTTCACCATGTTGGCCAGGCTAGTCTCAAACTCCTCACCTCATGATTTGCCTGCCTTGGCCTCCCAAAGTGCTGAGATTACAGGTGTGAGCCACCACGCCCAGCCTACAATTATTATTTGTCAATTAAAAATATTCAAAGGCCAAGGTTAACCATTTGGTCTTATAGTTGCATGAAATGAAATTGTGCTAACTGGTGCCAGCACCAAAAGGCCAGGTGTTCACTGTGTATCCACAACATCTAGCACAACACAATGGTCATGGTAGCTGCTTTACCTTTCTGGCTAACTTCTCTCTAGAATGTCTGTTTCTCTTGAACTCTTCTTGCTCCTGATCACCCTGTCATAATAAGCTCTTTGCAGTTCTCAATACATACCATGTACTTGTCAGCTTCAGGCCTTTGCATGTGCTTTTTCCTTTAGGACTCACTTTGGAGAATGCCCTCCACCCCAACCCCCACTGCATTATGACGGGCCACTTTTTTTTTATTGTACTTCAAGTTTTAGGGTACATGTGCGCAACGTGCAGGTTAGTTACATATGTATACATGTGCCATGTTGGTGTGCTGCACCCAGTAACTCATCATTTAACATTAGGTATATCTCCAAATGCTATCCCTCCCCCGTCTCCCCACCCCACAACAAGCCCCAGTGTGTGATGTTCCCCTTCCTGTGTCCAGGTGTTCTCATTGTTCAATTCCCACCTATGAGTGAGAACATGCGGTGTTTGGTTTTTTGTCCTTGCGATAGTTTGCTGAGAATGATGGCTTCCAGCTTCATCCATGTCCCTACAAAGGACATGAACTCATCATTTTTTATGGCTGCATAGTATTCCATGGTGTATATGTGCCACATTTTCTTAATCCAGTCTATCATTGTTGGACATTTGGGTTGGTTCCAAGTCTTTGCTATTGTGAATAATGCCACAAGAAACATACGTGTGCAGGTGTCTTTAGAGAAGCATGATTTATAATCCTTTGGATATATACCCAGTAATGGGATTGCTGAGTCAAATGGTATTTCTAGTTCTAGATCCCTAAGGAATCGCCACACTGACTTCCACAATGGTTGAACTAGTTTACAGTCCCACCAACAGTGTAAAAGTGTTCCTATTTCTCCACATCCTCTCCAGCACCTGTTTTTTCCTGACTTTTGAATGATTGCCATTCTAACTGGTGTGAGATGGTATCTCATGGTGGTTTTGATTTGCATTTCTCTGATGGCCAGTGATTATGAGCATTTTTTCATGTGTCTTTTGGCTGCATAAATGTCTTCTTTTGAGAAGTGTCTGTTCATATCCTTCGCCCACTTGTTGATGGGGTTGTTTGTTCTTTTCTTGTAAATTTGTTGGAGTTCATTGTAGATTCTAGATATTAGCCCTTTGTCAGATAAGTAGATTGCAAAAATTTTCTCCCATTCTGTAGGTTGCCTGTTCACTCTGATGGTAGTTTCTTTTGCTGTGCAGAAGCTCTTTAGTTTAATTAGATCCCATTTGTCAATTTTGGCTTTTGTTGCCATTGCTTTTGGTGTTTGAGACATGAAGTCCTTGCCCATGCCTATGTCCTGAATGGTATTGCCTAGGTTTTCTTCTAGGGTTTTTATGGTTTTATGTCTAACATTTAAGTCTTTAATCCATCTTGAATTAATTTTTGTATAAGGTGTAAGGAAGGGATCCAGTTTCAGCTTTCTACATATGGCTAGCCAGTTTTCCCAGCACCATTTATTAAACAGGGAATCCTTTCCCCATTGCTTCTTTTTGTCAGGTTTGTCAAAGATCAGATGGTTGTAGATATGCGGCATTATTTCTGGGGGCTCTGTTCTGTTCCATTGGTCTATATCTTTGTTTTGGTACCAGTACCATGCTGTTTTGATTCCTGTAGCCTTGTAATATAGTTTGAAGTCAGGTAGCATGATGCCTCCAGCTTTTTTCTTTTGGCTTAGGATTGACTTGGCAATGCGGGCTCTTTTTTGGTTCCATATGAACTTTAAAGTAGTTTTTGCCAATTCTGTGAAGAAAGTCAGTGGTAGCTTGATGGGGATGGCATTGAATCTATAAATTACCTTGGGCAGTATGGCCATTTTCATGATATTGATTCTTCCTACCCATGAGAATGGAATGTTCTTCCATTTGTTTGTATCCTCTTTTATTTCATTGAGCAGTGGTTTGTAGTTCTCCTTGAAGAGGTCCTTCACATCCCTTGTAAGTTGGATTCCTAGGTATTTTATTCTCTTTGAAGCAATTGTGAATGGGAGTTTACTCATGATTTGGCTGTTTGTCTGTTATTGGTGTATAAGAATGCTTGTGATTTTTGCACATTGATTTTGTATCCTGAGACTTTACTGAAGTTGCCTATCAGCTTAAGGAGATTTTGGGCTGAGACGATGGGGTTTTCTAGATACACAATCATGTCATCTGCAAACAGGGACAATTTGACTTCCTCTTTTCCTAATTGAATACCCTTTATTTCCCTCTCCCGCCTGATTGCCCTGGCCAGAACTTCCAACACTATGTTGAATGGGAGTGGTGAGAGAGGGCATCCCTGTCTTGTGCCAGTTTTCAAAGGGAATGCTTCCAGTTTTTGTCCATTCAGTATTATACTGGCTGTGGGTTTGTCATAAATAGTTCTTACTATTTTGAGATACGTCCCATCAATACCTAATTTATTGAGAGTTTTTAGCATGAAGGGTTGTGAAAGGTTGTTGAATTTTGTCAAAGGCCTTTTCTGCATCTATTGAGATAATCATGTGGTTTTTGTCTTTGGTTCTGTTTATATGCTGGATTATGTTTATTGATTTGCATATGTTGAACCAGCCTTGCATCCCAGGGATGAAGCCCACTTGATCATGGTGGATAAGCTTTTTGATGTACTGCTGGATTCAGTTTAGAGTATTTTATTGAGGATTTTTGCATCAATATTCATCAAGGATATTGGTCTAAAATTCTCTTTTTTTGGTTGTGTCTCTGCCAGGCTTTGGTATCAGGATGATGCTGGCCTCATAAAATGAGTTAGGGAGGATTCCCTCTTTTTCTATTGATTGGAATAGTTTCAGAAGGAATGGTACCATGAGGGGCCACTTTTTTTTTAATCACAGTTCTGGTGCCCCTGTAGTTTCTTGTTTCTGATCATTACCAACTGCCTGTGAGCTCTTTGCAGACTTGAGTGGTCTCACTTGTATCCCCAGCGCCTAGTTTGTTGCCCAGCACATAGCACAAGCTCTGCAAATATTCCTAGACTACTACATTTAATGAATTCTGTTTGTTCCACACTAAGAACTAAGGTCCTTTCTGAGCACATGATCAAAAAGTAGATAAAAAGTAGTAAATACAGGGACTCTTGGGTGGGAAGTTGTTCATATTACTTCATTTGCAAGTGAGGGACACCATGGATTCTTGACTTTTCTGTTTGGCAGAAAGGTCTTTGGGCATTTCTAAAGAGAATACTTGAAAACCGAAGGGTGGAGATAAAACTGTAAAACCTTTAGAAGAAGATACAGGAGTAAATCTTCATAACCCTGAATTATGCAGTGGTTTCTTAGATATGACACCAAAAGCACAAGCAACAATAAGAAAAATATACAGATAAACTGGACTTCATCAAAATTAGAGACGTGTATGCTCTGTTCAAAGGACACCATCAAGAAAGTGAAAAGTCAGCCTCCGAATGGGAGAAAATATTTGCAAATCATATACAAATGGCCTCCAACTTATGATGGTTTAACTTGAGATTCCTTTTTCCTTTTTTTGTTTTTTTTTGAGACGGAGTCTCGCTCTGTTGCCAGGCTGGAACGCAATGCAGTGGCTCAATCTCAGCTCACTGCAACCTCTGCCTCCTGGGTTCAAGTGCTTCTCCTGCCTCAGCCTCCCGAATAACTGGGACTACAGGTGCACGCCACCACGCCCAGCTAATTTTTGTATTTTTGGTGGAAACGGGGTTTTACCATGTTGGCCAGGATGGTCTCGATCTCTTGACCTCGTGGTCTGCCTGCCTTGGCCTCCCAAGGTGCTGGGATTACACACCTGAGCCACCGCACCTGGTCTCAACTTGAGATTTTTTTAACTTTACAATGGGTTTACCAGGACGTAACCCATCCTAAATTGACAAGCATTTGTATCTGATAAGGGACCTATATCCAGAATTATAAAGAACTCTTAAAATTCAATAATAAAAAGAAAAAAGATGGTCAGAATCTGAACACGGTTCTCCAACATGGCTAATGAACACACGAAAAGATAGTTCATACCTACTAGACTGACTCACAGACACAGTACAAGTGGTGAAGATGTAAAGAAATTGGAACCATCACACATTGCTCCTAGGATTGTAAAATGGTGGAGTCACTTTGGAAGTTTGGCAGTTCCTCAAAAATTTAAACAGAGTTACCATACGACCCAACAATTCTACTCAGGCATATACCCAAGAGAACTGAAAACAGATGTCCACACAAAAACCTATATGTGAATGTTCATGGCAGTAGTGTTTATAATATGCATAAAGTGGAAATTTCAAAATAGCTAAAAGAGTGTTTTTTGCATGTCCAGCAACTGGTGAATAAACAAAATGTGGTTTAAAAAAAAAAAAAAAAAGAATTGTCTTCAAAAACAAAAGAGTTGGATAAGGAGTCAGACAACCCAGGACTCGCGTAGCAGCTCCCCTAGCTCCTCTCCTTAGCTGTATATTCTTAGGAAATTCATTTCATTTCTCCAAGCATCCAATTCTTTGTCAATACTCACCCACCCCCTCATAGCCATTATTGTCTAATGATGCTGTGAAGCTCAGCTGAGCTCATGAATGCAAAAGCATTCTATACACCATGAAAGACTACACATATGAAAGGAACTGCTTTGTTACTATCACTATGACCTAGAAAATAATTCAGATCTTTTGGCCCCTGTGGCTCCCCTAGGAAGAGCATCTCTCCATGCTTGGTCTGCTCCCATGAGAAATTAAACACATGGACTCAAGAAGCTCTGCAGGCAGTGGATATGAATTTGCCAAAAGATCTGAAGAATATTTTTAAAATCTCATCTTTTGCCTTTATCTTAAATGCAGATTGGGAAAACTTCTGCTTCTGGTCAAGATGGAGTAAAAGACACTGGATTTACCCTCCTGCCATATATAATCAAAAACCAGACTATGTATGTGAAATAATGGTCTTCAAAGCAGTGAACATCAGGCAAAAGCAGAGAGTAATCATTAAGACATGAGAAACAAAAAAGCTGAATCCCATGATTGCCCTGGTGTACTTCTTAAGAGAGTTTTCAGACAACAAAAAGAAATAAAAGACATCAAGATTGGGAAGGAAGATGTTAAACTGACTTTATGGTACATGTGCACAACGTGCAGGTTTGTTACATATGTATACATGTGCCATGTTGGTGTGCTGCACCCATTAACTCGTCATTTAACATTAGGTATATCTCCTAATGCTATCCTTCCCCCCTCCCCTCACCCCACAACAGGCCCCGGTGTGTGATGTTCCCCTTCCTGTGTACACGTGTACTCATTGTTCAATTCCCCCTTAAAGTATAATAAAAAGAAAAAAGAAAGAAAAAAAGTGCTGAAAGAAAAAAAATAAAAATAAAAAAATAAACTGACTTTATTCACAGATGACATGATCATCTATGTAGAAAATCCAATTGATTCTTCCCAAAAAAAGGTATTAGAAGTAAATGAGTTTAACCAGCCTGCAGGATACAAAATCAATAATCCAAAGATCAATTACATATCCATATGCTAGCAAAAAAATAAGAAATTAATTTTTTATATTTTTTGTTATTATTTTATTTTTTATTATATTTGTCAATGATTTATCTTTTATTTTGATTATTTTTATTTTTCTTGTTTAATCTTTTATTATTTTCCTTCCTCAGAACAGAAATTAATTTTTTAAAATTCCAATAGCATCAAAAACATTGAATATTTAGGGATCATATTTTTAAATCTATTAAATACCTATACACTGAAAACGCAAAACACTGCTTCAAGATGTGAAAGAAGATCTAAATAAATGGAGCAATTTCCATGATCATATGTTAGATGACTCAATATTGTTAAGATGTCAGTTGTCCCCAAAGCGATCCATCGATTCAGTGTAATGTCCATCAAAATCCCAGAAGAATATTTTAAATAAATTGCCAAACTGATTATAAAATTTATATGGAAACACAAAAGATCTAGAATATCCAAAACAATTTCTAAAAGCAAGAGTAAGGTTAAATAACTTCCACTATCTTTTTAAGATATGATTTTAAGACTCCCTATAAATATATATTAATCAAAATAGTAGTATTTTCACAAAGAGGCAAATAGATCAGTGGAATGTGTACATGTGTGAACATGATTTTCAACAACAATGCAAAGGCTATTCAGGCAAGAACATTAGTCTTTTCAACAAATGGTGCTGGAAAAATTAAATATGTATCTGCAAAAAAAAAAAAAAAAAAGAACTTCAATCCATACTTTGCACTATTTAAAAGAATTAGCTCAAAATGGATTATGTACCTAAATGTAAAATTTTTAGAAGAGAACACAGGAGAAATCCTTCATAATCTTGGGTCAGGGAAGAAGCTGTTAGATCCAACACCACAGGCAGGATCTATAGAAGAACAAAGTGGACTGCCGGCTGTATGAGTCGCTCTGCTGTTGAAGTAATTACCAGGTGGTCACTTGGGTCTGGAGAAAAAGCAAAGACTAATGAAAATTGCTCTGTAAAATCTTTACAGCTCTCTGAAGTAAACTAGATTCATTGGGGTTTTCTGTTATTTCACAGTCTTAAAGGCCATATCTGGAAAAAAAAAAAAACAGTCCCTTTTTAGTTCCTTCTTTTTAGGAGCAAATTCAGAACTTTTTTTTTTTTTTTTATCATTTACCAACAATCCTGCTCCCCACCCACTTCCCGCCCCACTACCCATTAGAATTCTTTCTCAGCCTTTTGAGCATTGAGGAACTATTGTTCAGGCTTTGAAAACTTCCTCTTACCTCCAATATCCCTGCCTTACTATTTTTGCATAACCATATGTCCAACCACAAACAAGACAGTAAGCGTTTTTAGGTCTCAATTTATAACAAAGGGTTAGGAAACCTGATTTCCAGAGCTGTTTTCAGCTCTGAAACCCTCCTAAGCTGATTCCTCACCAAAAAAAATTTTGCAATAAAAATCATTTATGAGAGCTAGTGTTATAATCAACCAAGTAACTCTACAATTCGGTTACACACACACACACACACACACACACACACACACACACACCAGGTTTCTTCTGTTTATTTCCAGGTTGTATCCAAGAATAGGGGTGATCACTGTTATTGCCCATATCAATAATTGAATTAAATACAAGCCACAGTGGAATGAAATCATATTGTATTTGGAGAGACAGGCTCCAAGGTGTCTGCTAAATAGCCAATCACATTTAGACTTGACTCATGGCTAGAATCATTCACTAAACTAATATTTTCTAAGCACTTATTATGCCCCAGCTACTCTACTGAGTGCTAAAGATATAGTACTTATATTCTAGAAAGGGAAACAGACTCTTCCCACCATTGTGGTGCCTTGGCACATGTATCTCTTCTGCCTGGTTTGGTTTTCCTCTCCTATCTTCACTTGGTCAGCATCTGCTTTTCAGTCAAAGAATCTAAATGTGGCTTCCTTAGAGAGGAGTTTCCTGACCTTAAATTAAGTTTTCCTGTTATTTATTTCCTTATATCCCCCTTTATTCTTTTCCTTTCTAGCCCTTAGTATAATCCATATCTATTTTGTTATTATTGCATTACTACACTTGTCACAGTTGTAGCAAAGAGATGTTTACTCAATATTTGTAGACTAAATGAATGAACAAATTAACAGATTAAAGGCACAAAAAGGGATCTTGGGGAACTCAGGAAGGCCTCCGAGAAGAAGTGTTCAATCTAAAAGGTGGTAAGGATTTAGGTAGGTGAAGAATGAAGACAATGGGCAAGTAGATGTCCATTACTCACCTTAAGTTCATAACCTTTCATCTGAAAAATGGCCTCCTAACTGATTTTGAAATTTCTGGTCTCTTCCATTGCTTCAGACTGAGTTATTATGTTACGAAGTCAGTTACATCACATCACTTAAGGTCTCCAAAATGTAATCAGCTCTCTACTGAATAACAGCCAAATTCTCCAACACGGCACTGCTCCCCTCACCCAAATGGTCTGGCTTTCACCTACCTGTCTGTATCTCACTAACTCTGCCCATTTACTTCATGAGGCACTCATGATGATCTCTTCCCCACTGACCAAACACATCCTATTCGTTTCTATTTCCATGCTGTGCACTGTACTCCACCCTCCCTCTATTGAAGTTCTCTTCATCTGATACAAAAGCAATGCCATGACACCTTCTCTTTGGAAGTTTCCCTGGTAAGTCTCCCTTCCTCCTCTGAACAAATCTCTCCTCCCTTTCTGCTTCTACTCCCCATGTTTATCCTTCCTTTTTGTGCACACATGATTCTGCTTAACATCATGGTTTATATTCCTGTCTTTCGGTAGCATGTGAGCTTCTCCAGGTCAGAAGCAGCTCTGAAACTCTCCTAATGTAGAATAAGCCCTCAATAAATGTTTGCTGAATTGAATGACCCCTGATCCATCCACACAGGAGATCCACTTCTGTTGCCCTTAGCTTCCCACAGTGGGCCCCTACAAAAGCATCATGATGCCATCCTCTTGAAAACCAGACTTCAGCCTTCACTCCAACTCCTCTAATTCAATTTACTTATTCATAAAATAGTTATTGAGCACCTGTCATATTTTAGACACTCTTCTAAGCACTAGGGATGCAGAAAATAAATCTTTGCTCCTATGTTTACTTATATTTAAATGGGTGAAAGACAAATAATAAATAAGTTAGTATAATATGAAGTGCATCAAGTTATGAAAAATACTATAGGGAAATAGCATAAAAGGAGATAGAGTATACATTTTGTGCTGGGGGAGAAGGAAGGTGATACCTTAAGGAGTGTTCCTCCAAGACCTCTTACGGAAGTTGCCTTTGCAGTAAAGACTCAAAGGAAATAAAAGAGTGACTAGAGGGATACCTGGTGTAAGGCATTAAAGCAGAAGAAACATCGAAGGCCGAGAGGTGGCAGTAATATTAAGGGTCCAAGTTAGAAAAATGATCATCTGCTACAGTCAATGGCCTGAATGTGTCCTCCCCAAATTCATATGTTGAAACCCTAACCCCCAATGTGATGGTATCAGGAGGTGGGGCCTTTGGATGGTGATTAGATCATGGGGGGAGCCTTCAAAAATGGGATTAGTGTCCTTATAAAAGTGACCCCCAGAGAGCTCTCTTACTCCATAGGAGTATATAAGAAGTTGGCTGTCCACACCCCGGAAGAAGGCACCTACCAGAAACTGATCAAACTGCCACCTTGATCCCGGACTTCCAGCCTCCAGAACTCCTGAGAAATTTATTGATCGCAGCCCAAAGTGTCTAAGTCACCCAGAGTGGTGTATTTTAGAATCAAGTCTGATGCAAGTGTAGGTAGAGCAGTGTAAGTGAAGGAGATGGTGGGAGCAGATGAGGCCAGAGATGGGAGGTGAGAGTACAGAGCATTGAAGGTCATTGTAAAGATTGACCTCTTCTCTGTATGGGATGGGAGGCCATTGGAGATTTTGAACAGCAAAGTGAGATCAACCGGCATGTATTTTAAAAGCATTAATTTGGTTGTGGAGTTGAGAAGAGTCAGCAGGGGAAGCAGAACAGAAGCACAGAGACCTATTGATGAAATCATTTAGGCACTAAACAATGGCGGCTTAGCACAGAATGAAGGCAGTTGTGGGATAAGAGGTGGGCAAATGCTGGGTGTATTATGAAGGCACTTGCTGACAGATTAAATGTGGGGATTAGGAAAAAGAGAGGACATGGGAAAGGCAATAAGTTTTCTGGTCTGAGCAGCTAGATGAAAGGGGTTAGTGTTTATTAAAATGAGGAGGACTGTGAGAAAAACAGATCTTGTGCAGGGGCAGGGGGATGCTGGAGTTCAGTTGCCGGAAAGCTGAAGTCAGGTTCTTTTATCACCCAGATGAGGTGTCAAATTGGCATTTGGAAGAAGAGTCTAGAATTCACAGAAGAGGTCCAGGGCTAGAAACATAAATTTGGAACTTGTCAGCATAACAATAACATTCCAATCAATGAAACTGGATGACATTGTCAAAAGGGTGGAGAGAGACAAAGAAGATGGGGCCTGGGACTGAACCCAGGTACACTTTGATATTAAAAGGTCAGGGAGTTATAAGGAGCCAGCACAAAGGAAAACTAGCCAGTAAGCTGAGAGGAAAACCAGAGGAGTGTGGTATATAGCTAAGTGAAGAAAGAATCAATGAAATCAACTATTGGACCAAATAAAAAGTGAGCAGACAATTGACCATTATGTTCAACCATGTAAAAATTGGTGACCTGGAAGATAAAAGTTCTTATGAACAATGGGGTGAAAACCTCATTGGGGAAGGCTCTAGAAAGAATGGGAGCAGTAGAATTGGTGACAAAATATAAGGTTGCCATTTATTTTGGTTCACCCATGGCAATCTCAGTTTTCACCCATAGTCCAGTGTTCCATGCAGTTAATAGTTTCTCTGCCTGGGTGATACATTACATAACAGTTCTAAGTCTAGATAGCTCTGTCTAGATATACATTAAATACTGCACGCTTTCATCCATGCAACAGTACACTTTTCACTTTTCCATTTCTAGCTTTCCTGATGTAAGTAAATGCCAAATCTCTCCCAGCCCAGAGAGCAAAGGCCTGGGAAACTCTCCCTAGGATGATCTGTTCTCAACCAGAGCTAAACAAAGAGAATCACCTGAGAATCAGGACCCTGCCCTTAATGATTTTGATTCAGTTGGTCCGAGGTACAGTCTAGGCCTGCTTCTCCTCCTGGAAATTCTAATGTTTAGCCAGGGATAAGACCACTGCCCTAATTCATGAAAAAGCAACAGGTCAGTCTGGTGGAGGTTATTATAGATCTCACTTTAGCAGTCTCTTCGGAATTTTCCTCCCTGTCCATCCCCATTGTCAATGCTCTGGTTCATACGGTCATTTCCTCTACCTTGGACTATTGAAATTGCACTTCAAATAGTATCTCTGCCCCTGGACTCACCTCCTTCAATCCATTTTTTCTCATTTTACCAACCGGTTCTTTTCAACAGACTCCATCCTTCCTTTGAAAACTTCTGAGGTGTCCTTATTGACTTCAGGTTGAAATTTAAATTTCTTAAAATGTCAACTGCAGTCTTATCAATACACATTCAAGAAAGGGTAGTGCAGGCAGACTCAAGAGATATTTGCACTGTGGAGTTTGAGTTTTCCACTTTTATGGGTTTCTTTAGCCAGGAAGAATCCTGGAAAAAAAGGTGAGGATATCTCAGAACTGTGATGATATCCATTTTTATACCAATTATAGGTGTTCCCGTACTGATATGGTGCTAGGTGGGTGTGTGATTTAATGTGTTAATGAGCATATAATGAGGTCCTAGGTGAAAACTAGATCAATTCCAGTGCCATGTTTTGTCCAGTCGGTCTTAGCCAGCTTGGTCCACACCCTGGTTTTTCACAGTCTTATCAGCCTGTAGCTTCTGCAGCTATTTTAACAGTTTCCTTTTGCTAGTCATGTGAAACTGCTGCCTGGAATTTTCTATTCTCCTGCGACCACCCTGTATTATTCCTGTCTCATTTTCCCCACTGCAGAGATTTCCATCCCTTTATTCTTAAGGGTCAATGAGGGAGAATGTTAGTCTTCTGTATCTACTTCCTGCTGATTAGGGGTGATGGCCCTGCCTAGTGAGGGCATGGAAATCTCTGTCTGCCTGGTTTATGTGTTCCCAGCAGGGGTCATCAAAAGAGTCTGAATCCAAGGCAGCAGTTAATTGGAATCCTTGCATGACCATCATTTTGACATGGAACTGTTGCGACCTAGAAGACACAAACTACAAGGAAGCTAAACAAACAAGGACCAAAGATTAGTAGGAATAAGATAGCTATTAAAGGTCCCAGGAAGTTAGGAACCATGTTACACTTGGTAGGTACCCTTTGATGGAGTCCCAAATGGCTTGAGTAGTTGGGGTTATTGAAATTATGTAGCCAGATAGCCTGTTGGTAAATCTTTTGAACTTGCAGTTCAGCTAACCCTGATTGTTAATATAAGAACAGCAGGTATGGTTTATTACGTGCAAACCCCTCCTAGCAGTTCATGCTCTGGCTCTGCTAGGGCCTCATACAATGGCTTAGTAATAAGCCCAAATCCTGGGATCCAAATCCTGCAAAATCCTGCCATACCCAGGAACGTTCTGAGCTGCCTCTTTATTTATGGATGTTTCACCTTTAAGATAGCCTCCTTTCTGAATGGGTAGCTTTTAAAGTCCCATTCGAACTTTAAGAATTTCTAAATCTATGAGTGTAAGGAATTTCTCTTTTAACACGTATATTCCTGAGCATATTTTGCTCAGGCAAATATTTTAGTAAAGGGAAAAGAGGGAAAAAGTTGGGAGTGAGTGCCCACATCTCTCTCTTGTCTTCACCTCATCTTTGCCTACACCCCAGTCCCACTCAGAAACTGTGTTTGTTT
This sequence comes from Homo sapiens, assembly GCF_000001405.40. Lineage (NCBI taxonomy): Eukaryota > Metazoa > Chordata > Mammalia > Primates > Hominidae > Homo > Homo sapiens. The sequence continues at coordinate 56,255,117 of NC_000001.11, forward strand.
CTCAAACATGTTATGCTCCCTCACCTCCAGGGTTTTACACATATTATTTCTTGTCCCTGAATTACTCTTCCTGGATTATTCTTCAACTAGCTAATTTCCTTTCATTCTTTAGATCTTAGCTAAGTGATAAACTTCTCTGACAAGTCTTCCCTGCCACCTGTCACCTCCATCTTCACGACCCCCACCAAGTCTGGATGGAGGGCCTTTCACACAGCATCTCATAACTCTCTGGGCTTCCCTCACTACAGCCCTCATCACACTATATTTTACTTGTCACTTTACAGGCCAATGTTTCCAACTAGACTGTCAGGGCCATATCTATCTGTTTCAAGGCTCAATAATTCTTTGTTGAATGAACAACAAGGTGAATTCAATCTAAAGGGTTATGGAAATACCTTTTAAAAGTACTAAAAATTCACAGGTGCAGACCTCTTCTTTAAACTGTGGCAGCCCCAAGGATGTCACATGTATTTCCCACTTTGCTTTGCCCCCATCCTCATTGATGGACATATGCTCCATATTGGCCTTGGTGCCTGCAGCTTGTGATTCATGCTGAAAGCACATCTGAAACCCTCATCTTTATAGCTCTTTTCTGAGAAAATTACCCAATCTGGCAATCTGTCTGGCCCCAAGGATACTTGACAGATCAAATTGAACCAGGCCAGATGGAAGCGGGAAATGAACTCCACCATCAAATTGTCCAATGCCTGAAAAATGTTGGCTTTGAAACAATGCAGGTCTTCTCATGCATTTCCTAGAATCAGAGGAAGGTGTTCTCTGCTGCGTCAAGGCAGTGAGGCCTCTGTGTTCCTGACTGAGGCCCCCAAGTGAGCTCCGTGTCCACAGCAGAGCTCCCTGCCAGGTGGAGTGTCACAGCTGTGGAATCAGAGAAGTTGTGCAAGAGGAGAAGGAAGTTTTCCAACTCAGCAAAAGAACAAGTCTTGGAGACCAAGCTCAGGGAGAGTGGGAATCGAAAACAAGGCCAAGAATTATGAAATAATGTACACGTGGCAAAAACTAAGGCTCTTTAGTAACTGCAAGATCTAGAGGGAAGTGAATGAGCAGAAAGTTGGGAGGAAGAATGAGAGTGGTCAGGAACACACAAGGAATTGCAGTGCTTTCTTACAACCTGGCATTTGTTGCGAAGTTTTCTACAGAGTTAAATTGTATGTTAATGTATTCACCAATCATTTATGCAGCTTTTGTGCTTAGCATAACTCTCTGGATCTGCACTGCTACCCTAGGTTCTATTATTATTCCCATTTTAGAAATGAGAAAATTAAACTTCAAAGAGGCCCTCAAGTGGTCAGGTCAGGCTTTATGCCCAGGACCTGTGTTATCCAAAGCCCCTGTTCTGGATTTGAGCCTGCCCTGAATTATCTTATAAGCTGAGCAATCCTGAGCAGTCTCTTTCCTCACATGCAAAATGAGAGTGTTATAACCAATGAGATAATTGATATTAAATGATTTCAACTATAAAGCACTATGCAAATTTGAGTTGCATGTATTTGTTTATTTGCTTGCTTGCTTGTTTATACACTATTTTATTTCACAATGAGGCCTGAGTGAGACCACACACGGTAAAATAACACTGTATGATAATTTGAATATTCATGCAAATAGAAGTACAGAGCAGATACGATTTTCTGCCTCACAAATCTTCATGCAGAGTCTATGCACACAAACAAACATAATGACTCCAACATGCAATGCAGAATAAAACATGCTGCATGGCCTCAAGAATCTCAGATTCTACAAGAGAAAACAGAGCAATAAACAGGCCTTTTTAATAGTACATTCAGCGCTGTTGAAAAGAAAAACACAGCAACTTGCAACTTTGGGGACTGTGACAGGACATCTAACCCAAGAAAGCACCCCTGGGATTTCTGAGCTGTTTCCTGAAAAATGGACTGGGTTACAAGGCTAAGCCTGGACGTGAAAGAGGAGCAGCGTATTCACACCCAGGGCAAGAGGGTGTGCTGGCTGGCAGGGCTGTGGAACTGAAAATAATTGGCCTGACTGAAACTTAAGTTATAGAGGCAGGTAGGATATATATGATAAAGTTACCTGACCTGAAATAATCCCTGGCTCTGCTCACAGATGTCCCCATTCCAGAACACACTGAAACATAGTGGGGTCTTCCAGAGCCTGATGCCTCACTCAGATCTAGTCACTTTTCTAGTTGCTCCTATGTGTACATCAACCTTAGCAACCTCTTACCTACACCACATCTCATTTCTCTTATAAGCAAAGACAAGATACCTAAGGTTTAATTAGGCTATGCCCATTTCTCTTGTTTCTTGGGAAGCTTAATGCCTAATGGTTCAGGTGTTAGGTTCTGGAGTCAAACTATCCCATCATCAAAGTCTGACCTTGGCAATTACTTGCTGCATAACACTGGGCAAATCACTTATTGTTTCATGCCTCAGTTTCCTCATCTGTAAAAATGGGACAATAATATCACCTACCACTTAAGGTTTGTGTGAAAATTAAATGGAAAAATGCATGTAAGGGACTTAGAACAATGCCTCACACATAGCAATTACTCAATAAGTGTTATTACTTCACAAATTAACTTCTATAATACCGGACACTTTATTTCTTATTTCAATTATATCCTATGACTGGGTTCATTAGCATAAAGAGTGAGAATGAGAGAAAATATACATAAGAATCATTGATTAACGTGGGGAAAGAACACAGAGCCCAAAAGCCCAGACCATAAAGTCTCACTTGCTGCGATGGTACAGTTTCAAGTGTGACTTCCAGTTTCCTGGCAGCCAAAGCACAAAGGAGAGCCAATCCATAATTATTTCCCCAGGATAATTCTAAAAGAATTTCTTCCATGGGCTTCACACAGGAGGCACTGTGTGATATAGTCAACAATATTCACAATGGTGTCCCAATGAGGGACAGAGGCCATGAAGACACAACGCAGCTTGATTCTGCACAGTTCACTGATCTTCGGATGGCTCCGTTTGATTCCAAAAGGGAACCTCAAGCATCCAGAGGGGCGAATGGACTGTTTACCTTCCAAGATCCTTTGGAAAGACCACATCCCTCAGCCAGTACTGTGAGGTAAGGATAGGTGGAGAGAAATGAAAACCCTGCTCCCCAGTGTGAGCCTGGAGTGGATGAGGTCTTGAGTGATGGTTAAGGGTTTTAAAGTAAATATTTTTACCAATGTTGCTCCAGCAGTAGTGTATGACCAAAATGAAATGGGGAAAGCAGTTAGGAAAGGGTTGTACTTACCTAGGTAAGGGATGCGGACCGAAACCAGGCTGTGTCTATGGAGACAGTTGCCAGGAGATGGAACTGCCTCATGCAACCTGCTTCATGGCTACAGTTTGAAAAGGTCTCCACTGGGTTCACACTTGGAAACAGCTGGCAGAGACAGTGAATGAACGGGCTCAGAGAAGAGGATTCAGTCAGCAGGAGACTGCGTTAGAGCCTCTGGAATTAAGACAGCCAGCACCTGTTTTGCCTCTCATTTGCTTGGTGAGCTGCCCACATCACATGTTCTCCCACAGCAGCAGGTGATGTGCCTGTGCAAGGATCACAGCGCCACTTTGAGCCTCTACTCCCTGCTAGCCCCAGTTTTATGCACTGTTCTTAACATTTTTTCATTTGATGCCCAAGTAGCCCTAGTCATTTGATATTATTATCCATATTTAAGGATGAGAAAAACCGAGGATCAGAGGAGCAAACGGGGTTACCCAAGATAAGTGTCAATTATCATTGTCAGAAATATTTATGACTTCATGTTTTTATGTTGCCCAAACAAACCCTCCAATATGTTTTTAGGTCAATCAGCAGTTACTGACACAAAATTGTTCTTGCCCTCTTGATGGCTGAAGTCCCCTGAAACCATTGTCCTGCATGCAAGCACCAGAGGCCTTAGCCTGACTGAATTTCCATAAACAGAAATAAGACAGAAAAGGTGGCAAGCTGTGAGTAACACCAGGGCTTCACCACCTCGCATACTCCTTTTCCGCTGGTCTTTAGCTGGCCTTCTAAAAATAATCCCAAACAGTGGAAAATAATGTAGTAATTGTCTTGCCAGCACCCATGACGGGCAACTCCACAATGACCCACTGTCAAGTCCTAAGAAAAAGCAGGCTGAGACCACCGGCAGTGTGGGTCCCTCACAGAATTCTCATTCCCAGAGGAAAATGTCCATCACTTTCAGCCCTCAAAAAACCGGCTACTGTCCCAAGTCTTGAAGTCCTCTAGAGCAACAGCACCTGTTGGCTGTTTTCCTGTGAAATACGAAGACAGGAATAGGGCTGGAATGGGCTGTTAATTCATTTAACACTTAGGTGCTGAGCCCCAGCTCAGCAAATATCCTGAGCAGCACAGTGGTAGAAGGAGCAAGGACATCAGAATTAGGCTAAACCTGCGTTCAAATCCCATCTCTGCTATCTAGTGCCTCTATGACCTTGAGTGAGTCATCTACCCTCTTTGAACCTCATATCTGTATCAAAAAGTAAAAATAGCAATGCTGAAAGGATGGGGCTGATCAAGGAATATCTCCTGTTGGAGTAAGGCAAACCGAGGGTCAGTATGCAGAGGCAGAAAGAGGCAGTGCTTACAATTAAACTGACTAGGGTTCAAGTCTCAGTTTCACTACCTGTGAGCTCCAGGCCTTGAGATTTTACTTAACACATCTGACCCTCCATTTCCCCACTACAAAATGGGTTAAGAATGCCTGCCTTCCAGGGTTGTTATGCCGGTGAAAAGACACTTTTGCAAAGCACCTGAAACACAGCAAGTGCTCAAAAAGTAGTGATTCTTATGGTTTACCAGATGCCATGCTAGGCACTGGGAATGCAAAGATGAACACCCAGTGATGCACTGTACCATCAGAGCGAACTAGTTAAGTCACATCTCTGCCTTTCTATTTCCTTATTCATAATGTAGGGTAACACTCCCTTCCCTGCCTTACCAACGATAAAAGTAATAACAATACAACAATAGCAATCATAATACCTAACACTTATTGAGTAATTACAGTGTGCCCAGGCATGTTACCAAGTGTATTACATGCATTATTTCATTTAATCTTTATGGCAGGCAGAATAATGACCCCCAAAGATGTTCATATCTTGATCCTTAGAACCTGTAAATATTACTTTACACGGCAAAAGAGACTTTGCAGATGTGATTAAGTTAAAGATTTTGAGGTGGGGGGTTATCTGGATGGGCTTAATCTGATCACACAAGACCTTGAAAGTAGAGAACTTTCCTCTAATTGGAAGTAGGAGAGAAGAGGCAGAGGGGGAAGTCAGAGAGAGTCGAAGTGTGGGAAGGACTTGACATGTTGCTGGCTTTAAAGATGGAGGAAGAGGCCACAAGCCAAGGAATGCAAGTGGCCCCTAGAGGCTGAGAATAACTCCTGGCCAACAGTCAGAAAGGAAACAGCAGCTTCAGCCCTATACCCACAAGGAACTAAATTCTGTCAACAACTTAAATGAGCCTGGAGGTAGATTCATCCCCAGAGCTTCCAAAATGGAGCACAGGACTACTGACACCTCAATTTTAGCCTTGTAAAGCCCAGGGCAGAGACACGGCTAAGCCACAGAGCTATGAGATAATACATGGGTGTTATTTTTAAGGTACTAAGTCTGTGTTATTTGTTAGAGCAGCAGTAGAACATAGAAAATCCTCGACACAGCCCTGTGAACAAAGAATCATTAGAATTCCCATTTTACTGAAAAACTAAGACAAAGAATGGTTAAATTCACCATGACCTTACAGCTAGTAACTGGGAGAGCTTCTTGATCCATTCTGACTCAAGAGCCTTTGTTCCAGAAGACAGTCGATGGAGGCTCATAGGAAGTGTTCAATAAATATTTGTGAAATAAATGGGTGAATAGATGGATGGATGGAGAAATACTGGGAAAGAAGATGTTAAGGACATAGAAAGAATTTTCAGGCTAGGCATGGTGGGTGATGCCTGTAATTCCAGCACTTTGGAAAGCCGAGGCAGGAAGATCACTTGGGACCAGGAGTTCAAGACCAGAATGCACAATATAGTGAGACCCTGTCTCTACAAAAAACTTTAAAAATTAGCCAGGTATGGTGGTGTGCACCTGTAGTCCCAGTGAGTCAAGGAGGCTAAGGTGGAAGAATCACTTGAGCCCAGGAGATTGAGGCTGCAGTGAGCCATGATTGAGCCACTGCACTCCAGCCTGCGTGATAGAGTGAGACCCTGTCTCCACCTTCTCTCCAAGAAAGAAAGAATTGTCACTTTTGTTTCATTAAACAGAATCCCCATCTGCCATTTCAAGAATAACCTGAGAAATAAGAGGCAATTTGAGCAAAAAGCACTGGACTAGAAGTCAGGCAGCCTGTGCTCTGTTTCTGCTTTTACAATTCACTTTCTCTGTGACTTAGACCAATATCTGTACCACTCTGATCCTGTTTTCTCATCTGTAAACTAGAAAGTATAAACCTGGTACAAGCTCCTTCTCATGGGTGCCATAAGGTTCACATGGGACACAGAGATGGAAAAGGAGTAACAGTGCTGTACAACCCATCACCCTACTTGGTCATTCAGCGTCTTCTGAGTGCTTTCCCTTGCCAGGCAGTGAGAGAGGTGCTGGGGATACAGCAATGGGTGAAGCAGGGAGCTTGTCATGGCAACAGATGCAGAAACACGTCACTAAGGAATACATGCTGGACAAGGAAGACAATTCTGAACCAAGGTGATGGATGAAAGAAGGAAGTGTGCTAAAGTCTAATCTACATGGTGCTTCGTGTGCATTTCCTAGGTAGCTGTGGCAGTTTAAAGCCTCAGGAACTAGATGAGGTGTTCAAGGTCCTATTCAGTCAGGAGAGTAGTATGACCAACCCTTCACAAGGTATGTATGTTGCTGGGGTGGGTAGGTAGATGGGATCCAGAAGGACCTTCCAGTAAAAGTTACATTTGAGCCACCTTCTAAAAGAGGGATAGGAGTTGGCCAAATGTATGTGGGAAGGGAGGATCTTTTAGCCAAAAGCAATAGCCTGTCAAAGTCATCTATGCCCTGTTCAGAAATCCACTGAGTTAATGGGTAACCATTAGGGATGGTCATGAATACACCTCATCTCCTCTCCTTTCAAGCACATGTTAAGACAGCACTATCCGGCTGTTTTAAAGTTAGGTAGAGCCTGGGACTGGCTTTGGCTGATGAAATGTGAATAGAAGTGACAGCTGTCATTTACGCAAGGAAGGCTTTTAGAGTCAGTACCCACCCAGTATGTGACTAGAGATACTAGCACTGTCCATTGGAAATATAATGTAATCCATACATTTAATTTGAAATTTTCCAGTAGCCATATTAAAATAAAAGGTAAAGAGAAATAGGTGAAATTAATTTTAATAATATAGAAAATATATTAACTCAATATATTCAAAGTATTTTAATATGTAATCAATATATAAATTATCAATGAGCTTTTTTTTGTACTGAGTCGTTGTGAGATGCTGTGTGTAATTTACACTTACAGAGCATCTTAGTTTGGACTAGCCCCATTTCAAGTGCTCAGTTGCCATATGTATCTGGGAGCTACTGTGTTGGACAGCACAAGAATAGCAGGTAGAGATCCTGCTACCTTGGGCACATGAATGAAAGACACATGGAGCAGGGACCCCAGCCAACACCCAGTGAACATGTAGCATAAGCAAGACATAATCCACTGAACTTATGTTTGTTATTGCAGCTTAACTCCTCCCAACCTGCACACACCTGATGTTTCTAAAATATAAAGCAAACCAAGGGAGCCTGCAGAGTGAAGCAGGAGTCAGTGCTAGCCTTTTATGAGACACTCAAGCATTTGGATTTTATCCTGAAGGAATGGTAATGGATTTTATGACATGGTCAGATTTTGAGGGGCCATACTGGAAGCAGAGAAAATAAACAGGGGACTGGTCTAGGCAATAAGGCTGAGTACAAAGATGGAGGAAAGCTCAAGTAGAAAGGCTGACATGCACTTCCCCATCAACCTGCATAAGAAGGGGACTTTTGTGATCAGTGTGAGGGGACCATCAGCATGGCCTCCTACAATCTGCGGTGGCTTCAGTTTCATTTGTAGCTGTTGGCTACAAGGAATTATTCCACAGGTCCACCATGGTAGATAGCATGGCTCTCATGAAGTATTCTGAATCCATTTTCAAGGTCATTTTCCTCTTATTTTTTTTCCAGCCCAGGCCAGACTTCAAAACCTGCAGATTTTCAAGCATCCCAGATGGGGTGGAGATTTTTTCCTCCTATAATTTTTCCCCACAAATGATGTGGCTAAAGAAGAGACAAAGAATAAAAGCCAGTGATTGTTGGAATAATTCTGTACCATCTACAGAAAGGGGATCAGAGACAGGGGTGGATAGGGAAGACTGTGCAGATAGATTGGTATTTATTTGAAGTCATGATATCAAAATATATTCCATGGATCTTGATCTATTGTATTTTGACAATTCCAATTGTTTATCTTTGTATGTGGGGTAGAAGTGAGTGTGGGGACAACTCAAGACTGCTACAGGATGTTACCATGAAGAACTCCATAGGAAACATTTTGGTGAAATGAGAGTAATAATCACAAGAAAAGCTCGTTTAAAAACTACTTTGAGCCTCTTTTCTAAGATTTGTGTATTAGAATGCTTTCTGTCACAGTGATTTTCATATCATTTAATCAGGCTTGATTGTGAGCAAGTCATAGTAATATGGGGACAAAACCCTTGTACAGGCTCATGGGTATCATAAATCATTTGTTAACTGCTATGTAATGATGCAGACCTCTGAATGGGGCTGAGTTCTACCACTTAATTTCTGTGTGATCTTGGGCAAACCTGATAACTTTCTGAGCCTTGGTTTCTTCATCTGTAAGTTGAGGGCAATAATCCCTATCCTCTGGGGTGGTTGTAAGGATTGAGTGGGAAAACTGTCATGTTATTACATCTGAGTAAAGAAGTACATGGATTCGGAGCCAATAGACTTAGGATAAAAATCCTGTTCTGGCACATGCTGATCACGTGACCTTGAACAACTCACACTCATGATTTGTCTATATTCTATAAAATGGGATGACGGCACTTCCCCCAATTAAACAACATGGTATATTTGGCATTTAATTTAGACTTTGCCCTCTAAAAGTGGTCTGAGTTAGGGATCAAAGTGCTGCTAATTCATTTTGTAGGTTCAAGCCAGGCAAGGCCAGTGTGAGAAAGAAAGCAGAAGTGAGGGGGAAATGTTTGGATGAACGTGAGGTGTGCATGAATGTGATGCAGCTCTTCACGATCAGCTGCAAAGAGATGCTCATTCTACAAAGGTTTGTTCAGTTCTTCAGCAGATATGAATTTCCAGAAGGTTTTCAAGCAGACACCACAACTCAGAGCACTCCGCAGAAGGGATAAAGGAAAGAAATGCATCTGCCTTGCTCATCCTGGTCTCTTTTTTCCCATTGGTCAAGTTCACCCGGTAGGGAGCTAACTCCCCACATATCTGGGTTGTGTCACTTAGCCCCTAGACCTGATCAGGGAGCATTTCATCTCTCTCAATGGAGAGGTGCCTCCATGTGGCTCAGCCCAGCTTGTGGGCCATCTGGGCAAGGCAGGCCTGGGATTCGTGACCTAAGATGGCTCAGAGAGCTCTGCCAACATGGCTGGACCCAAATGCTCCAGCTCCTTCATACTGTGTTCTATCCTGGTGCTAAGGAGGAGACAGCATCCATAGCATAGTCCAAGAGAGATTCCAATGTTAAGAAGTACTTTGGAAGCTTAAATGTGTCTCTTGCATCTTACAAATGAGGAATTGAAGGCCCACGGTGGGAAACGGACCTCCCTGAATCACCCAGTTGCCATTGGAAAAGTCCCTTAGATCTGTGCTCCTTAAACTCTAATGTGTTCCTCAATCTCCCACAATCTTGCTAAAATGGAGATTCTGATCCAGTTGGCCTGAGATGAAACAGAGATAGTGCAGCAAGGCTTTAAACTGCCATAGCCACTGGGAAATCCACACTAAACATCATGTAAATGAGACTCCAGCACACTTCTCTCTTTCATCCACCACCATAGTTCAGAATTGTTCTTGTCCAACACTTGTCCCTGATTCTATCCTGCTACTACTACTGACTTATTATTTTCTCTTTGCATTCTTTGCCTTAACAGGTTGCCTTAATGCTTCATTCTTCTTTTTGGCTAATATATTTCTTGGCTACCCTGGACAGTCTCAGTATCACTTAAGCTATGCTGCTTCAAGTTTTAAGTAAATACCCTTGCTCCACAACTTGGGCCCAGAATCTTCTAACCTCAAAGCACTCCTGTGGTCAGAGCCTCTGATGTGCTTCCCCCAACTTCTCATATGTGAAAACTAAAATGATGAGGGCCCAAGTCTTCTATGCACTTCCCCTAAACCACCCAGACTCAATTCTAACAGTTAATGAAATCAAAGGAGATTGGTACAGTAGTGGAATAGTAGTTGGGCTTGTTCTTAAAAAACAAAGTTTATATTTAGTACACTTGTTTCCTAAAAATACAACAAAAATAAACCTTCTTTCCAGTTTAGCCTACATATAAATCAGATTGTCTTCAGTTACTGGTTTACTGAATAAATGATTACAAGTAGATCTGAAAGTATTTATTAAATTTCTACAATCTTCAATAGCAAAGCATAGAGAACAAAATGGATTAGATTTAGTCAGTACTGAAGGAGAAAGAAGTGGTAGGTGTGGACTGAAGAGTCTTGGATATTAGATTTCTCAACCTCTTTTTCTATGACCTAGAGCAGATGGCTTCATACAGGCACTGTTTCTTCATGGTTGAGAGTAGAAGCTCTACAGCCTGATTAGTCTATCCAAAGTCCAGCTCTACCACTTACCATTTGTGTAAACTTGAGCCACGTATTATACCTCTTGGTTCATTGGTTTCCCCAATTCTAACATGGGAATAATTACAGTACCCATCTCCAGGGATTGGTGTGAGGATTAAATGACTTAACAACTTAAACATGGGCCAGTTAAAATTTTCCCATCGCTTAATACGCACCTGAGAAATATTAGCAAGCATTATGCCAGCTGGAACTTTCCCCCTTTGACTCCCAGTTAAGAAATTATATTGGAATGCAAGTGAGAGTGAAAAGAGAATAAGAATATATTATGGACATAACATGTAAGTACTTATGCGAATTTTATCAAGAACCAAGATTTTCAGTATGGGAGAAGAGAGATCCAAATGTAAATTCAATAAACAAGTTAAACCATATATTGCTATATTTGAGTTGAAAATTATTAGTTTAAACTCGTGAATTTTTAAAAATAGATATTTTCTAGCTCTGCCTACTAAAAGGGCCTAAAAGCAATTACAACCGCATGGCAGTGAGCATAACTAGCACCCAAATTGTGACTTTTAAATGCTATTCCTGTCCAAAAGAAACAGGAACTTCTCCACGACTCAATGATGATTAAGGTCTGGAAAGAGAAAGTTCCAGGAACTTCTTTTACCAGAAGATAGGGAAGTTATCAAAGACTAGCAAGGATGTAATAAAAGAACTCAGGGCCAAAATAATGATGACTGAAGTGTATTGAAACACTGCATATAAGACCCAGGCACTCTTAATGATAATAGGAAAATAAAATAACCTCCATGTTCTCAGTGTTTATCATTAGTTTTAGTTCTTTTGTTGTTGGTTGTTGTTTTTAAGACAGGGCCTCTCTCCGTTACCCAGGCTGGAGTGCAGTAGTGGGATCCCACTAGGCTCAAGTGATCCTTCTGCCTCACCCTCCCCAGTAGCTGAGACTACAGGCATGTGCCACCACACCCAGCTAATTTTCATATTATTTGTAGAGACAGGGTTTCATCATGTTGCCCAGGCTGGTCTCAAACTCCTGGGCTCAAGCGATCCTATTGTCTTGGCCTCCCAACGTGCTGGGATTACAGGCATGAGCCACCACACTCAACCATCATTAGTTTTAACTAAGCACAAACTCTGTGAATATAGGCATTTAATTGCCGATTAAAGGCGAAAAAAATGTATCCTATTTTTGCTTTATAAAATATGTTTGAGGGTAATCAGACATTCATAGCTGTGAGCATAATGGCTCTTTACAGAAGAATTATAGGCAATAAATGTAAAAGGAATTAGAATTAGAGAGATTGTCACTTTTCAATCCCTAATGAAATAATTGACTCAAGCAAAGATTACCCATAGATGAAACCATCTGATGAAAGATTAAAGGGAAATTTTAGAATAGAGATACCAGACTGTCACCACCTGAACGCTTGATTAAATTAGCATCCTGAAAAATGGGACAACCAGACTTTATGTGCTCTCTAATATGATGCAACAAGGAAGTACACGGCCCTGACAATTAAATATTCTAGGAAATAGACCTCGGACTTAAAACAAATCAAGACTTTAGAATGAACTTCTAAAGTTTGCTATAAATAGGAGAGTTAGAGAAATCAGTTAAATGAAACCCCAAAGAGACAAACAGAAAATTCAGAATGTGAGTCTTTCTATAAGACATGGTTTTGTCAATAAAAAATAGAATAAAAATGGAGGGGTCGGGGAAAGAGGGCAAGGAGGACAGGCTGTTTTAGATTCCAAGAGACTTAAGAAATACAACTAAATGCAATATATGTGGATCTTGTTTGATCCTGATTTGAATAAGTCAACAGTAACATCACATTCTTGAGATAACTGGAGGAATTTGAATATTGCACCAGGCATTATAGTGAGTTTCTTTAGATGTGATCATGATCCTATGGTTAGCTAAGACAATGTCCATATTCCTAAGTGATATATCCTGGACTCTGTATGATGAAAGGACATGAGATCTGGGATTCGAAAAGGCAAATAATTGGGCAGAACTGGGGGTGGAGGGGTTGATGAAGCAAGGGAGAAAAAGTTCTTATGTATGTATCGGGTGTATGGAGTTCATTACACTATTACACAACACTACTATTATCATACTGTAGTTATTCTTTCTACTGTTGTTGTTACAGTCATACTGCTTTTGTGTATGTCTGAAAGTTTTCATAATAAAAATATGCTACCATAAGAAACCTTGAATCTGACTTAATGTATATTTTATTTAAAATAATTAATGAACTTTGATGTTTTTAATCAATAGCAGCAAAGTTCCTGTTCCATCACTCACCATCATGTCTTGACATAGTGCTTATTAATCTAATGAGTGTGCTTCACCCCTACACTTATCAGTTTGGATAAAATGAGTGTGTTCATCTGTCACCAACAAGACTGCGGCTTGGGAGCCAGAACTAACTGTGTCTCATTCAACTTTGAACCCCAAGCACTGGTACTCACAGTACTCAGAGTAGATGCACATAATAGGTGAATATTAATAAGAATCAACCAGAGATTAATACGCTGATACTTGGGCATTAAATCCAGAAATTCTGATGCAGAAAGTCTGTGTGGGGTCTGGGGAATCATCATTTTGAGTAAACTTTCCAGTGATTCTGATGTGTGTATGTGTTGGAGTCCACACCTTGAGAAACACTTGTTTAGCTGGACTACATGAAACTAACATGTGGGAGAGTTTCATAGGGAAACTAGAGAATAAGTAAAGTTAATAAACAAATGGATGGCAGGTATGCAGTTCCACGCATCAGTTTCAGTGGCTCTGGTTTCTGAGGTTAAATAATGAGAAGGGCTGATTAGTAAATGACAAAGAAAGCAGAGCAGCTCGAAATGCAGCATTTGATTTCAATTTTATTTTTATTTAAATGAAAACTGCTGCAAGAGTCAAAGGCAAAGCTTCTGGATTGCAGACGGTGCAACCATGGATAAATATAAATCCTAGCTTTCCAGGCGGCTTTGTGAGTGGGATAAGGAGCACACGGCACTAACTAAAACGATTATACAAGGTATGTGCTTGCAATAAGACTTAAACGCATATGGGCTTCTTCAGAATCCACTTTATAAAATCTCTCATTCTTTCCCATCAGCCCCACTGGAATCTGTTTGAGTCTTTCAGATCATTGGTTGGGGCAATATTGTTTCCATACAATTCCTCATCATATGCCAATACATTGTTATTGAGTGGTTACCTTGTGAGCTGAGAATTGCCCACAACTAGAGGAGTTCAAGTAGAGGACAAGGAGAGGATTCTTTAATGACTATGCTTCCTAAGAGATCTTGCATTGGGTCTTGGAGAGAAAGGGCCCTAATTCCTGCTAGTTCTCTTCCTCAGTTTCCTCTAAGTCCTACCCTGCCTCTATGCTTGGCAAATGTTCTGCTTCTGCCTAAAATGTCCTTTCCCATGTCTCTGCCTGAGAATCCATTAAGCCAGAGCCCAAGAATCAGCTCTCGTAGGTTTCTCTGATGCCAAGCTAATGTAGAAGGCCCCTTCACTGTTCTCTTGTAAGCAGCTCCAGCTTACCTTCATCATAATATAATCAACTGTTTAGTTTTGTTATCCCTGCCTAAACTGTGAGGACCACATCATTATTCATTGCTGTTTCCCAAGTATCTTGCACAAAATCTGACATATTGTAGATACTCAACAAAGGCAATAAACTGAATGAATGGATGAATGCTTAACTAGAAGATTAAAGTTATTCAACTAATCCAGTTCAAGTGAAATCTGTCCCTGAGTTGAGATATTAGAAACACTTTCAGGAATTTTTAAAATATTGAAGGGCTAGAGAAATGCCACAAGACAGGAGATGGAAAGTGTTTGTCTTCTAAAAGACAACTAAGGATGAATTTAAAAGACTATGGGCAGACTCACTGATTACTAGCAAAATTTAGGAGCATTTTAAAAATAAAGTCATTTTGGGATATAAATGATTCAAATCACAGATGCTGCCAAACTCTCTCTCCTGCTCAAGCATTTGACAAATCTCGCATAACATTCACGTGAAAAAGATAGAAAAAATTAGCAGGAAGATAATGCCATTTAGACACATTTGTAGTTGATTAAATTTGTCAATGAATGATAGTATTAATGAATAAATTAAAATTATTCTGGAACAAAAGCATCATCATCACTTCTTTGCCTTTTCTCTTTAACAACTGTACAAATTACTTGGTGAGGATTTACATGGTAAGTCTATATGATACATTTATTCATTCAACAAACTACTGTTGAGAATTGTGTGCCTTGAGAAAGTCACTGCATAGTAAATAACTAATTATAACACAATACAATGAGATGGAGCTATAAACAGATTCTGAGATAGAATCTCCAGAGGCATGCCTACAAATCATTGTAAATAAGAACCCCGGGTAATCCTTGTCATCAGACATGATTTTGGAAACCATGATAGATGACAAAATAAAGTTTAAAATATCTCCATCCAAAAAATGAATAAAACTAATGAAAATAAATTCAGAGCAAAAATGTAAAATATCTCCACTGGGAAGACAAATGGGTTAAAAACCTAAAAGAAGAAGTGTGATGATTAGTAATATTAAAATGTTGCAAAAATTAGGGTTTACCAATTATACAAGAAAATAATGTATGTGACCTAGTTCAATAAATCTGTTAAAGGAAGGTATATCCATATACTCTCCCACTTACCATTTTTACAATGGTAGTAGGGAAAAACAGAAGATGACAGTAGCAATAAAATTCTTTTCTGATCTTCAGTGACTGCATAATAATAGGACCTGCTATTTAGAGTTGTGTAGGGTCTCCAGGTATGGCTATGCAGCAGAAAACTAAATGAGATTACTTGCTCATCAAATATTTATGGACAGTCTATTGCATCCCTGTGATTGGCTCTGAATGCATGCAAAGCACTTTGCACCATGCTTAGCACATAGTATATGCATAAAGAAAGATAGCCATTGTTACTATTAATTATTATTATTATTAAATGCAGTTGTAACTACTCTAGTTATCCACTCTGTCTTTAGAGACAGAAACTGCATCTGCTTTTCCAGGGGTTGCAATCCTAGTCTCTGATAAAACAGACTTTAAACCAACAAAGATCAAAAGATACAAAGAAGGACACTACATAATGGTAAAGGTATCAATTCAACAAGAAGAGCTAATTATCCTAAATATATACGCACCCAACACAGAAGCACCCAGATTCATAAAGCAAGTCCTTAGAGAACTACAACGAAACTTAGGCTCCCACACAATAATAATGGGAGACTTTAACATCCCACTGTCAATATTAGACAGATCAACGAGACAGAAGGTTAACAAGGAGATCTAGGACTTGAACTTAGCTCTGGACCAAGCAGACCTAATAGACATCTACAGAACTCTCCTCCCCGAATCAACAGAATATATATTCTTCTCAGCACCACATTACACTTATTCTAAAATTGACCACATAATTGGTAGTAAAAACACTCCTCAGCAAATGTAAAAGAACAGAAATCACAACAAACTGTCTCTCAGACCACAGTGCAAACGAATTAGAACTGAGGATTAAGAAACTCACTCAAAACTGCTCAACTACATGGAAACTGAACAACCTGCTCCTGAATGACTACTGGATACATAACGAAATGAAGGCAGAAATAAAGATGTTCTTTGAAACCAATGAGAAAAAAGACACAACATACCAGAATTTCTGGGACACATTTAAAGCAGTGCTTAGAGGGAAATTTATAGCACTAAATGCCCACAAGAGAAAGCAGGAAAGATCTAAAGTTGACGCCCTAACATCACAGTTAAAAGAACTAGAGAAGCAAGAGCAAACACATTCAAAAGCTAGCAGAAGGCAAGAAATAACTAAGATCGGAGCAGAACTGAAGGAGATAGAGACAAAAAAAAAAACCCTTCAAAAAATCAATGAATCCAGGAGCTTGTTTCTTGAAAAGATCATCAAAATAGATAGACCTCTAGCAAGACTAATAAAGAAGAAAAGAGAGAAGAATTAAATAGACGCAATAAAAAATGTTAAAGGGGATATCACCATCGATCCCACAGATATACAAACTACCATCAGAGAATACTATAAACACCTCTACACAAATAAACTAGAAAATGTAGAAGAAATGGATAAATTCCTGGACACATACACCCTCCCAAGACTAAACCAGGAAGAAGTTGAATCTCTGACTAGACCAATAATAGGTTCTGAAATTGAGGCAATAGTTAATAGCCTACCAACCAAAAAGAGTCCAGGACCAGATGGATTCACAGCCGAATTCTACCACAGGTACAAAGAGGAGCTGGTACCATTCCTTCTGAAAGTATTTCAATCAATAGAAAAAGAGGGAATCCTCCCTAACTCATGTTATGAGGCTAGTATCATCCTGATACCAAAGCCTGGTAAAGATACAACAAAAAAAAGAGAGAGAGAGAGAATTTTAGGCCAATATCCCTGATGAACATCGATGCGAAAATCCTCAGTAAAATACTGGCAAACTGAATCCAGCAGCACATCAAAAAGCTTATCCACCACGATCCAGTTGGCTTCATCTCTGGGATGCAAGGTTGGTTCAACATACACAAATCAATAAATGTAATCTATCACATAAACAGAACTAACGACAAAAACCACATGATTATCTCAATAGATGCAGAAAATGCCTTTGACAAAATTCAACAGCACTTCATGCTAAAAACTCTCAATAAACTAGGTATTGATGGAATGTATCTCAAAATAATAAGAGCTATTTATGACAAACCCATAGACAATATCATAGTGAATGGGCAAAAACTGGAAGCATTCCCTTTGAAAACTGGCACAAGACAGGGATGCCCTCTCTCACCACTCTTATTCAACATAGTTTTGGAGGTTCTGGGTAGGGCAATCAGGCAAAAGAAAGAAATCAAGGGTACTAAGTTAGGAAAAGAGAAAGTCAAATTGTCTGTTTGCAGATTACATGATTGTATATTTAGAAAACCCCATCATCTCAGCCCCAAATCTCCTTAAGCTGACAAGCAACTTCAGCAAAGTCTCAGGATACAGAATCAATGTGCAAAAATCACAAGCATTCCTATACATCAATAATAGACAGAGAGCCAAATCATGAGTGAACTTCCATTCACAATTACTACAAAGAAAATAAAATACCTAGAAACCCAACTTACAAGGGATGTGAAGGACCTCTTCAAGGAGAACTAAAACCACTGCTCAATGAAATAAAATAGGACACAAACAAATGGAAGAACATTCCATGCTCATGGATGGGAAGAATCAATATCGTGAAAATGGACATACTCCCCAAAGTAATTTATAGATTCAATGCTATCCCCATCAAGCTACCACTGACTTTCTTCACAGAATTGGCAAAAATTACTTTAAAGTTCATATGGAACCAAAAAGGAGCCCGCATTGCCAAGACAATCCTAAGCAAAAAGAACAAAGCTGGAGGCATCATGCTACCTGACTTCAAACTATACCACAAGGCTACAGCAACCAAAACAACATGGTACTGGTACCAAAACAGAGATATAGACCAATGGAACAGAACAGAGCCCTCAGAAATAACACCACACATCTACAACCATCTGATCTTTGACAAACCTGACAAAAACAAGCAAGTGGGAAAGGATTCCCTATTTAATAAATGGTGCTGGGAAAACTGGCTAGCCATTTGTAGAAAGCTGAAACTGGATCCCTTCCTTACACCATATACAAAAATTAACTCAAGATGGATTAAAGACTTAAATGTAAGACCTAACACAATAAAAACCCTAGAAGAAAACCTAGGCAATACCATTCAGGACATAGGCATGGGCAAGGACTTCATGACTAAAACACCAAAAGCAATAGCAACAAAAGCCAAAATTGACAAATGGGATCTAATTAAACTAAAGAACTTCTGCACAGCAAAAGAAACCATCATCAGAGTGAACAAGCAACCTACAGAATGGGAGAAAATATTTCCAATCTACTCATTTGACAAAGGGCTAATATCCAGAATCTACAAAGAACTTAAACAAATTTACAAGAAAAAAACAAATGACCCATCAAAAAGTGGGCAAAGGATATGACCAGACACTTCTCAAAAGAAGACATTTATGCAGCCAACAGACACATGAAAAAATGCTCATTATCACTGGCCATCAGAGAAATGCAAATCAAAACTACAATGAGGTACCATCTCACATCAGTTAGAATGGCGATCATTAAAAAGTCAGGAAACAACAGACGCTGGAGAGGATGTGGAGAAATAGAAACGCTTTTACACTGTTGGTGGGAGTGTAAATTAGTTCAACCATTGTGGAAGACAGGGTGGCGATTCCTCAAGGATCTAGAACTAGAAATACCATTTGACCCAGCAATCCCATTACTGGGCATATACCCAAAGTATTGTGAATCATTCTGTGATAAAGACACATGCACATGTATGTTTATTGCAGCAATATCAACAATAGCAAAGACTTGGAACCAACCCAAATGTCCATCAATGATACACTGGATTAAGAAAATGTGGCAAATATACACCATGGGATACTATGCAGCCATAAAAAAGGATGAGTTCATGTCCTTTGCAGGGACATGGATGAAGCTGGAAACCATCATTCTAAGCAAACTATCACAAGGACAGAAAACCAAACACTGCATGTTCTCATTGATAGGTGGGAGTTGAACAATGAGAACACATGGACACAGGGTGGGGAACATCACACACCAGGGCCGGTCAGGGGGTGGGGTACTGGGGGAGGGATAGCATTAGAAGAAATACCTAATGTAAATGACGAGTTAATGGTTGCAGCAAACCAGCATGACACGTGCACACCTATGTAACAAATCTGCACGTTCTACACATGTACCCTAGAATGTAAAGTATAATGAATAAATAAATAAATAAACAAACAAACTGCATTTGCTTTTCAAGGCTCAACAATAGGAGAGTCTATCATGGGCTACTGTAGTTAGCACATAGTGAAGCTCTTCAAAGCTCTTTCCTTATCAATTGTCATTGAGCTTTCCATCCAGAGACAGACTTTCAGGATTGTGTCTGCTACTAGACTTCTTAGGAGAATCGAGTATTTTCAACATCAAGTCACAATTTCTCTCTGAAAGCACATTGAATTTCATTGAAATTCTTTACCTCTGAGTTTCTGAGCATTGTTAGTCTATAACATACAATGTAGCACTTAATTTTACCATCTTGGTGTTGAAAGTTTTAAATTGTCTTAAAAGATAGTGGTTAAGAGCATTGACTTTTTGGAGTCAGACAGCACTATGTTCAAATCCCTAATTGCCTGACCTTGGGAATGTTATTTTGTTTTGTCATAAATTAAATGCAGTACGGTGAAGCTCTAATGAGATTATGTACCTGGCAGGTACTCACTGAATAGCAGTGGTCAGTAGTATGACAGCTACTGTCATGATCTGTTTTTATCTACTACCATCATAAAGATGGTAAGTGGGAGAGTATGTGGATGTGTCTTTCTTTAACAGATCTATTAAACCAGGTCACATACATTACATTATTTTGTTGTATAATTGGTAAACTCCAATTTTTACGACATTTAACATTACTAATTGTTGTAGACAAAGATAGCCTGCTCACTGATTCACAATTTGTCATTAGAAAATGCTCCATGTAGTTCTCACTTGTAAGTGGGAGTTGAACAATGAGAACACATGGACATAGGGAGGAGAACAACACACACTAGGGCCTGTTGCGGGTGGGGAGCAAGGGGTGGAAGAGCATTAGGACAAATAGCTGATGCATGTGGGGCTTAAAAACTACATGACAAGTTAATAGGTGCAGCAAACCACCATGACACATGTATACCTCTGTAACAAATCTGCATGTTCTGCACATGTATCCCAGAACTTAAAGTAAAATAAAAAAAAAAAAACCAAAGTCCATTATATATAAAAAATAAAATAAAAAATACTCCATGTATTAGGCCAAACTTTTTTTTTCTCTAACATGGTTCCTTTCAGTGGTCTAAAACCTGCCCTCTGAAGTTGCATAGAGCCAGTTTAATTCCTCTTTCTCTATGAAAGTTCTTTACATAGTTGAAGATAGAAATTATGCCTCGCTAGGTTGACCAACCATCCGTGGTTTGCCCTGGACTAAAAGGATTTCCTAGGAGAAAGGACTTTCAATGCTAAGATTGAGAAAGTTCCAGGACAACCAGGAGAGTTGGTCACCCACCCTCCTCTCTGTTCGTCTCCAGGCTGAAGATCCTCAAGGTCTTAAAACTTTGTTTCATGACATATTTCATAGCCCTCTCATCATCCTACTCTCTTTCCTCATGGGCATTATTTTTTGTCAATGTCGTTCCTTTTTTATTGCACAGAAAAAGTTTATACTGCATTATGATGTGGTGTTAGAGATACTTAGAAGTATTTTATCTTGTGATATATTACATTGGTTCTCTTTCCCTCCCCCATCCTAGGTGCAAAGATTTTTATAAATCATTCTCCTAAATTCCTCAAGAGTATGTGAAAGGGCTTCTTCTTTATTTATTCTTTGTTTCTGCATTCACTGCTTTTGTTTTTCTTCCCCAATTAGTCACTCATTCTATTGCAGGAAAGATCAAATAAGGATGTATGTCATTTTCAATCATATCATTGTCTTTTACGCCTGTGTTTCTCAATTTGAATAAATGGCATTATGCTATAGCATCATCTTTTTTTTTTTTTAACTAAGTGCTATTAAGATCTGTCCATGTTACTATGTGGAAATGTGGCTCCTTGCTTCTAATTGTTGCATAGTATTCTTGAGTGTCCACCCATCTCATTTTATAAATTCATCCCCTCAATGCTGGTAAACAATGGCCTCTAACTCCCAGCTACTGCATGTAACATTGTAATAGACATCCTCATTCATATCTCCTTTAAAAGAGGTTCTCCTTAATCATTTGAAGTTGTCAGAATCTCCTCCACCTAGTATAACCAAAAAGATATCTAATTTAGAGAATTCATTATTTTTTAATTACTATTATTTTTGATTGACAAATCTTTATATACATTTTTGGTGTACAATGTGATGTTTTGATATATGTATACAATGTGGAATGATTTAATCAAGCTAACAAACATATCTATTATCTCATTTACCAATCATAAAAAAGATTGCTAAATGAGATAATAGATATGTTCGTTAGCTTGATTTAATGATGCGTTAGATATTTACTGTCTTTGGCAGGGTGCAGTGGCTCACACCTGTAATTCCAGCACTTTGGGCAGCTGAGATGGGTGGATCACTTGAGGTCAGAAGTTCGAGACCAGCCTGGCCAACATGGAGAAACCCCATCTCTACTAAAAATAGAAAAATTAGCCAGGCATGGTGGCCTAGGCCTGTAGTCCCAGCTATTTGAGAGGCTGAGGCAGGAGAATCACTTGAACGTGGGAGGCGGAGGTTGCAGTGAGCAGAGATCACCCCAATGCACTCCAGCCTGGGCAACAGAGTGAGACTCCATCTCAAAAAAAGAAAAAAAAAAAGAAATTTACTGTCTTTGTTTTTTTTGAAACACAGGTATACTTCAGAGATACTAGCTTTGGTACCAGACCATTGTAAAAAAAAATAATAATAAATAAAATCACAATAAGATGAGTCACAAATTTTTTGGTTTCCTAGTGCATATGAAAGTTATGTTTATAGCAGAGTGCAATAGCATTATGTCTTAGAAAACAATGTATATCTCTTAATTTAAAATTGCTTTATTGTGAACAAATGCTGACAATGATCTGAGCCTTCAACGAGTGGTAATAGTTTTGCTGGTGGAGGGTCTTCCCTTGACATTGATGGCTGCTGACTGATTAGGGTGGTGGTTGCTAAAGGTTGGGGCGGCTGTGTTAATTCCTTGTTTTTCATTAATAATTGTCTATATTGATACACATTGAAATGATAACATTTTAGATATATTGGGTAAACTAAAATATATTGCTGTAATTCATTTTAACTGTTTCTTTTTTGCTTTTTAAAATGTAGCTGCTAGAAAAGTTTAAATAAAATACACAGCTCACATAGTATTCCTATTAGACAGTGCATTTTTTCAGATTCTTTTAAAATAGTTTCAACTTTTATTGTAGATTCAAGGGGTATATGTGCAGGATTGTTACCTGAGTATATTTCATGATGCTAAGGTTTGGGGTATGATTGATCCCATCACCCAGATACTAAGCAGAGTACCCAATAGTTTTTCAAACCTTAGTCCCCTAGCCACGCTTCCCCTCTAGAAATCTGCAGTGTCTATTGTTTTCATCTTTATGTCTATAAGAACTCATTGTTTAGCTCCCACTTATAAGTGAGAACATGCCGTATTTGGTTTCTGTTCCTGTGTTAATTTCCTTAGGCTGATGGCCTCCAGCTGCATTCATGTTACTGCAAATGACATGATTTCATTCCTTTTTATGTCTGTGGTAATTTCTTAAAATAAGAACAATGAAGTTTGCTGCATCAATTGATTCTTCCTTTAATAAAAGATTTCTATATAGCACGCAATGGGGTTTGATAGCATTTTACCCACAATAAAACTTCTTTCAAAACTGTAGCCAGTCCTTTCAAATCCAGATGCTACTTTATCAACTAAGTTTATGTAACATTCTAAATCCTTTGTTGTCATTTCAACAATGTTTATAGCAGCTTCATCATGAGTACATTGTATTTCTTTGCTTGTCCGTAAGAAGCAATTCCTCATCCATTCAAGTTTATCATGAGATTTCAGCAATTTAGCCTCGTCTTCCAGCTCCACTTATAATTCTAGTTCTCTTGATTCTTCCACCACATTGGCAGTTCCTTCCTCCACTGAAGCCTTGAACCCCTCAAAGTCATCCATGAGGATTGGAGTCAATTTCTTCAAAACTCCTTCTAATGTTGCTATTTTGACCTCCTTCCATGAACCATGAATATTCTGAAGGGTATCCTAAAATGGTAAATCCTCCCCAAAAGTTTTCAATTTACATTGCCCAGATCCATGAGAAGAATCACTATTTATGGCAGCTAAAGCCTTATGAAATGTATTTCTTAAATAATAAGACTTGAAAATCAAAATTACTCCTTCATCCATGGACTGCAGAATGGATACTGTGTTAGCAGGCATGACAACAACATACATCTCCTTGTACATCTTCATCAGAGCTCCTGTGTGACTAGGTGTATTGTCGATAAGCAAGAATATTTTGAAAGGAATCTTTTCATCTGAGCAGGAGATCTCAATAGTGAGCTTATAACATTCAATAAACCATGCTGTAAACAGATGTGCTATCTTCCAAGCTTTTCTGTTGCATTTATAGAATACAAACAGAGTAGATTTAACATAATTCTGAGGGGCCTTAGGATTCTCACAATGGTAAATGGGTGGCTTCAACTCAAAGTCATCAGCTGTATTATCCCCTAATAAGAGAATCACCCTGTCCTTTAAAACTTTGAAGCTAGACACTGACTTCTCCTCTCTAGCTTGAATATTCCAGGTGGCTTCTTCTTCCAATAGAAGGCTGTTTCTTTTACATTGGAAATACAGTGTTTAGTGTAGACACCTTCATCAATGATCTTAGCTAGGTCTTCTATATAACTTCCTGCAGCTTCTACATCAGCATTGCTGCTTCACCTTGCACTTTTATGTATGGAGATAGCTCCCTTCTTTAAACCTCATGAACCAACCTCTGTTACCTTCCAACTTTTCTTCTGCAGCTTCATCACCTCTCTCAGCCTTCATAGAATTGAAAAGAGTTAGGGCTTTGCTCTGGATTAGGCTTGGGCTGAAAGGAATGTTGAGGCTGGTTTGATCATTTATCGAGACGACTAAAACATTCTCCATATTAGCAATATAGCTGTTTCCTTTTCTTATCATTTATGTGTTCACGGGGGTAGCACTTTTAATTTCATTCAAGAACTTTTCCTTTGCATTCAAAACTTGGTTAACTGCTTGGCATGAGAGGCCTAGGTTTTGGCCCATCTTGGTTTTTGACATTTCTTCCTTACTAAGCTTAATCATTTCTAGCCTTTGATTTAACATGAGAGATGTGTGACTCTTCCTTTCACTTGAACACTTAGAGGCCATTGTAGAATTATTAATTGGCCTAATTTCAATATTGTTGCATCTCAAAGAAGAGGGCAGCCTGGGGAGAGGGAAAGAGATGGGAAAACACGGGGTCAGGGGAGCAGTCAGAACACACAAATTTATTTATTTATTTATTTATTTTAATATATTTTTTCTATTATATTTTAAGTTCTAGGGTACATGTGCACAACGTGCAGGTTAGTTACATATGTATACATGTGCCATGTTGGTGTGCTGCACCCATTAACTCATCATTTACTTTAGGTATATCTCCTAATGCTATCCCTCCCCACTCCCCCCACCCCACAACAGGCCCTGGTGTGTGATGCTCCCCTTCCTGTGTCCGAGTGTTCTCATTGTTCAGTTCCCACCTATGAGTGAGAACACGTGGTGTTTGGTTTTTAGGCCTTGCGACAGTTTGCTGAGAATGATGGTTTCCAGCTTCATCCATGTCCCTACAAAGGACATGAACTCATCCTTTTTATGGCTGCATAGTATTCCATGGTGTATATGTGCCACATTTTCTTAATCCAGTCTATCATTGATGGACATTTGGGTTGGTTCCAAGTCTTTGCTATTGTGAATAGTGCCGCAACAAACATACGTGTGCATGTGTCTTTATAGCAGCATGACTTATAATCCTTTGGGTGTATACCCAGTAATGGGATTGCTGGGTCAAATGGTATTTCTACTTCTAGATCCCTGAGGAATCGCCACACTGTGTTCCGCAATGGTTGAACTAGTTTACAGTCCCACCAACAGTGTAAAAGTGTTCCTATTTCTCCACATCCTCTCCAGTACCTGTCATTTCCTGACTTTTTAATGATCGCCATTCTAACTGGTGTGAGATGATATCTCATTGTGGTTTTGATTTGCATTTCTCTGATGGCCAGTGATGGTGAGCATTTTTTCATGTGTCTGTTGGCTGCATAAATGTCTTCTTTTGAGAAGTGTCTGTTCATATCCTTCACCCACTTGTTGATGGGGTTGTTTGTTCTTTTCTTGTAAATTTGTTTGAGTTCTTTGTAGATTCTGGATATTAGCCCTTTGTCGGGTGAGTAGATTGCAAAAGTTTTCTCCCATTCTGTAGGTTGCCTGTTCACTCTGATGGTAGTTTCTTTTGCTGTGCAGAAGCTCTTTAGTTTAATTAGATCCCATTTGTCAATTTTGGCTTTTGTTGCCATTGCTTTTGGTGTTTGAGACATGAAGTCCTTGCCCATGCCTATGTCCTGAATGGTATTGCCTAGGTTTTCTTCTAGGGTTTTTATGGTTTTAGGTCTAACATTTAAGTCTTTGATCCATCTTGAATTAATTTTTGTATAAGGTGTAAGGAAGGGATCTAGTTTCAGCTTTCTACATATGGCTAGCCAGTTTTCCCAGCACCATTTGTTAAATAAGGAATCCTTTCCCCATTTCTTGTTTTTGTCAGGTTTGTCAAAGATCAGATGATTGTAGATGCATGGTATTATTTCTGAGGGCTCTGTTCTGTTCCATTGGTCTACATCTCTGTTTTGGTACCAGTATGATGCTGTTTTGGTTACTGCAGCCTTGTAGTATAGTTTGAAGTCAGGTAGCATGATGCCTCCAGCTTTTTTCTTTTGGCTTAGGATTGACTTGGCAATGCGGGCTCTTTTTTGGTTCCATATGAACTTTAAAGAAGTTTTTTCCAATTCTGTGAAGAAAGTCATTGGTAGCTTGATGGGGATGCATTGAATCTATAAATTACCTTGGGCAGTATGGCCATTTTCACGATATTGATTCTTCCTATCCATGAGCATGGAATGTTCTTCCATTTGTTTGTATCCTCTTTTATTTCGTTGAGCAGTGGTTTGTAGTTCTCCTTGAAGAGGTCCTTCACATCCCTTGTAAGTTGAATTCCTAGGTATTTTATTCTCTTTGAAGCAATGGAGAACGCACACATTTATTGATTACATTCACCATTTTATATGGATGAGGTTCATGGTGCCCCAAAATAACCAGAACAGTAACAGCAAAAATCACTGAGCACAGATTACCCTAAGAGATATAATAATAATAAACAAGTTTGAAATATTTTGAGAATTACCAAAATGTGACACAGACATGAAGTGAGCACATGCTACTGGAGAAATGGAACCATTAGACTTGGTTGCCATAAATCTGTGATTTGTACAAAATACAAAATCTGCAAAGTACACTAAAGCGAAGTGCAATAAAATGAGGTATGTCTATATACAATACATTATTATTGACTATAGTTACCATGTTGTGTAAAAGAATTATTCATTTTTAAGTGGCCAAAACAAAGTAATATCTTGACTGAGCTTCCAAGAATAACCCCCAGAAATACACAACTAAACTGGTACACCAAGAAGCAATGGCTTCTGCCACCATTGGAGGGCTATGGGGCTTGGAAATCAACACCACCTCTACTGCCATCACAACTAGTAAAAGGGATGTCCAATGTCCAGCTTCTCAATGCCACCATGTTAGAAACGGACACTAGAACCTTTGCTACATCTTCCAAAAAATAAATTGCAGCAATTTAAAGTCTTTGTGATTACGCATACTAGCAAAAACAGCAGAAGCAGCAAAGGCAAGGTCTCCGCCTCATGATAATCACTTGCACTTTCCAAACATCACATGCATGCTTTGTACAACCTTAGAACACGGTTTCCTGCACACTAGGGGATAAAAGGGTAAAATTCAATAAATGGACCCTGAGCAATAAAGACATCTGGAAAATATTGATTTTTACCTTTGCGTCCCCTAGTGTGCAGGAAACCATGTTCTATGGTGAGGGAGAAGGAAGTTGGGTGAACTAATTTGTAAAATTTGCCACAAACCAAGGGTGAGACTGATGAGTGATGGGCATACACAAATTCACCTGTTTAGTAGTACCAGACCGTTCTCCAGAACGACTGCACTACTCCCCACAGCAGTGCATGAGGGTTCCCACCTGCCTTTCCCTGATAACACATCACATCACACATCAAATTTCTTACCAATCTAGTTATAATGCCAGAGGAAAAAGTACCTTTTTAGTGTCCCATTAACCCATTGGAGTGATTGAACTTAATTTCTAATAATTTTGGAGAGTGCTTCTGACATGAGCTGCTACCAAATTAATTCACTTCAAGCCAGTATTTCTATTATGTATGTGAATTCCAGACTTAATATTTATATATTTATTTTATCATTATTATTTTTTGAGACAGAGTCTCACTCTGTCACCCAGGCTAGAGTACAGTGGCGCGATCTCGGCTCACTGCAATCTCTACCTCCTGAGTTCAAGCCATTCTCCTGCCTCAGCCTCCCAGGTAGCTGGGATTACAGGCCCGCACTACCACACCCAGCTAATTTTTATATTTTTAGTAGAGACGGGGTTTCACCATGTTAGCCAGGCTGGTCTCGATCTCCTGACCTCATGATCCGCCTGCCTCGGCCTCCCAAAGTTCTAGGATTACAGGCATGAGCCACCACGCCCAGCCAATATTTATCTTTTTAAAATTTTATCTAAGTAGTGTTAGTCCAGTGCTCCAGCCTATCAGGGTTATTTAAAAATCTTTATTATTTTTATTTTTTAATTTCCTCTTTCAATTTTGAAAGGATAGAAGGAAAGCAGAAGGATGTTCATTTTCTATTTTACACATGGAAAACTGAGGCATAACGAATCTAAGTAACTTGCTCAAGGCCACCCAGTGAGAGGGAGAAAAGACATGATGTGACCAGGTATGTCCGAAGCCAAAGCCTTTCACACACTTTCAGAATCATATCACACTTTGCAAAGCCATCCAGTGTATGGGTTATTTAAGGACTAATTTGGGCTGTTTTTAATTTTAACAATTAAAAACATTATTTTCAGAATTAGAATAGTCCCTTTTCTGGCCTTTGTAACTAAATCGTAATGAAAAACTACCAATCATGGCCTTACTAAAAAATGTTCAAGACCTCAAAAGTTATCATTGCAAAAATGATTTTCTCAAGTCAGGTGCAGTGACTCATGCCTGTAATCCCAGCATTTTGAGAGGCCAAGGCAAGAGGATTACTTGAGCCCAGGAGTTTGAGACCAGCCTGGGCAACATGGCAAAACCCCATCTCTACAAAAAATTAAAAAATTAGCCAGGCGTAGTGGCACACACCTGTGGTCCAAGCTACTTCAGAGACTGAGGTGGGAGGATTGCTTGACCCCAGGAGGTTGAGGCTGCAGTGAGCTATAATTATGCCACTACACTCTAGCCTGGGTGATAGAGCGAGATCCCATCTCAAAAAAAAAAAAAGATTTTTCTCATTAAAAATGGTTCAAGATGGGGGAAAAGAAACTGTTTTTCTTTGACATCCACACTTTTGCACCTGCTGTTCACTGGGAATCACCTTTTTTATTTTAATCCGGACGACGCTTACTCTTTCAACTCTCTATTCAAGTGTTTTGCCGGACCTGACTCATAAGATTCAAATATAGGTACTGTGACTCTTTTTGACCCCTATAAGTATAAGCTAGTGTGGGAAGAAACACAAAAACAAACACATAATATGAAATGGTTCATCTTATAATCACTTGTCATATCACAAAGTCACAAAGGGAACATAGAGGAAGAAGCAAGAATCATGAAAGGTTTGCAGAGGAAATGTCTTGATCCGGCTGTTGAAGAAGGAGCAAGAACTGCCAGGTAGACGAGACAGGTGGAGAATTTCAAGCAGGAAGAACAGCAACGGCAAAGGCAGGGAGCAATGACAGAGTGTCTTTCCCCTAAAAACATGATGCATTCTTCCCCTAAATTCAGTCAAATACAAGGTTTAAGAAATTTAATAAATCCAAACCTTGGAGGTCATCTGTGTCAAAAATATGTATTTTACTCACACAGAGACAAAAACTAGCTTCCTAACACCAATCATTCAGAAGTGCAGTAAGCAATAACTGTGTTTCCCCAAATTCCCTGATGATAGGAATTATCAGGGCCTCTTATTAAAAACACAGGTTCCTGGTCCTCCTAGAGCTTCTTATTCAATGGGTCTGGGATGAAGCCAGAAACTTGTAATATTTAACAAACACCCTCAGGAGATTCTCATCATCAGAGAATTTTGGCAAACAATGATCTTTGGGCCCTGATGTTCAGCACTCCTCCAACAACCCTTTGCAGAGGAGGGAGATTCCAGCACCGTGGTCAGCCTCCTGGTCAGTTAACAATTAAACCGTGGGAACTGTTGCCCTGGGTTATGCAAGGAGATCTTTTACTAAAGAATGTTGCTTGTACCACATTTTCGTCTATAGACCCAGAGCCTGACAACTTTCCTATGTTCTCCTCTAATCCCCTTAACAATCCTGCAAGGTAGATAGTTTCTGCATTTTACAGACATGGAAAACTGAAGCACAAGGGGTTCGGAAAAATTGTAAACTGTCATGTACCTTATAATAAGTAGCCGCATGGGAATTTGAATCAGGTCCATCTGAATCCAGGCCCAAGCTCTTCCCAGAATCCTAGCATCTGGAAGGGTCAATGGTAGATTTGGCCCTCCCACAGCCAATCTATACGAATGGCTAGCCATAGTTGAAATCTACAAGCCTCAACTTCAGGATCTTTTCCATTTTAGGTTGACCCTTCACTGACCTCCACTTCCTCCACCCCACCTGCTTCACCCCAAGAAGCCATCCTGTTTGTGCCTGGCCACTCTGTTGCAATTTTCCACCAGGATTATTTGTGGCTATAACAAGCAAGACCACGCCAACGTCTGGCATTAAAAGAAGTTTGAGCCTTCATTCCTGAGGTAATGAGACCATTTTTTTCAAGTTCCTTCCTCTAAAGTTCATGAACTTAATAAAAAATAAAATAAGGCCAGATCTATTACAGCCCAGATCTGTGCTGCAGGAAGCCAGAGCTGATTGGGTAAAGGCAGAGCCTGGATGAAAAAGAAAATGTACTTATGAACTAACTCTGTCTTTACCTTCCACTGAATCCAGAGAAAGCCACAGTGGGAGGCACCACCACCCACATCTGAGCTTCCTGGTTACACACCACAGGCAGCACTAACATTACAGGAGCAAAGCGGACCTTGATATAAAGATGTTTACAGCCTTGTCTCCCTTTTGGAAACTGAGCTTTGGAGAAACCTGACACTTGGCTCTTTAAAGTGAGGATTCACATCCATCCTACCCCTGTGTACACCAACCACCCAGAAGAGTGTGAAATACTCAGGAAATGAGTGGAAGGAGTCACCCCAGGCTATGCCCTCTTTAGCCTCTTGCTCCTCAGTGCCAGGGGCCATTGCCACATGTCTCTGCAGCTGCCCGGCTCATGACCCCACATTGGTTCTTGTCATCATTGCAAATGTCTCCCCCTCTAAGACCCTTAAAGTCCACCATTCCACTCTAGGATCTCAATTCCTAGCAGCTCACTCTCAAAACTAATGCTTTAAGGCCTGTTAAAGAAAAGTTATTCAGTGATACTTGTTAAAGATTGGTAAGGCAGACTTTATCCAGGACAATTACCATACGCATAGAGGGACCACTGCAATGGGAGGTTGCAGTAGGGTAGAGAGATTGGGCTCAACTCCTAATACAGCAGGGGCAAGTGGGAATTTATAGCCAGAAAGCAGGGTGGCAGTCATGCCACCTGATGGAAAATTGCTAAGATGGAAAATTGCTAAGCAGAAACATCAAGGGTAAGGGGGATTTCTGGCAAAACTGACCTAACAGGATTCTTGCTGAAGATAGACTACAGTGGTTAGTCATCACCTGGTGGTGCAGGATGAGGAACCTACCAGATATCAAGAGGGATCAGGTATTGAGGGCAGGGAGTTCTTTCAAAACTGACTTAGTAGCATTCTTGCTAAAACTAGATTTTATAACAAAGAGCACAGATAGGCCTAGGAGAAGGTTTAGAAGACTGATTAAAGTGTGGCCAAATGAAGACTCTCTGTTAGACCCCACTGGATCCTCCAGGACCTTCCCTGCCCACCAGCCTCCTGCTAGCATTCACACATCTATTCAGAAGACATATTCTGAGTGCCAGTCACTCTCCAGGCAGAAGACTCACCTTAAATAAGACCCATCCTTGCTTTTACAGACTGCCCTCACTCCCTCTCCAACCTAGGCCTTCCTCTCACCAGCCTACAGATCACTCATTCTGCACCACCCAGTCACTCATTTTCCCTGCTTTGGCTGCCAATTTTGCCTAGTAATGCTGCATTGCACCATAACAAAAGTAACAAACTTGTCTTAGCTTCAGTTTCTGCATCACAAGGTTGCAATGAGAAATACACAAGAAAAAGAATCTAAAACCCCTAGTACATTGTGTAATACAACTAGGCGTTCAATAGGTACCATCACCACTCACTCTGCTGTTTGAAATCAGGCAGACCTACATTTGAATCCCAGCAATCCATTTAATTGCTGTGCATCCTGAACCCCAGCCCCCTCATCTGTAAAATGAAAGCTAACCAATAGCCAACTCTTAAGGGTATAAAGAAGATTTAGAAACAAACATGCCAACAACCCATTAGTGATATTGTGATTTCCCCAAATGAAAATGGTATCTATGGGCTTTGGATCCTACTAATATTGCCTAACTTCTAGGTGATTTTGTCAACTGCAGCTACACCCTGTTGGATCAGAGGAGCCTGCTGATGACAGGTTTAAGACCTGCTAGGCTCCTAGAACTTGTGCAATTGCCTCCTAATTCTCAGCTAAGACCCCTGGGAAGATTGTCGAGATATTCAGAAAAAAAACACTCAGGAGCTCCCAAAGCCTGGGAAGTTTATGCAAGGGAAATGTAACATTTTTGTGTCTGAAGCTCAGTATTCCCAGGCCCCCAGACCCCATCCCAGATGTGGTGGGCAATCATGATGAGGAGTGTGTTGCATTTCCTATGAATTAAGCCATCGAGCCTGGAGAACAATGTCATCATTGATGGGAAAAGGTCGCTGAAATTCCAAGGACACTTGAGGCCTTTCACTGGGCTGAGACAGAGATGCCTAATATTAATCCTACGTAATACGAGTCTCTGACAACCCACTTTCTAATGGGCCTGCTAGTGGTTCAATTGACCATTCACTGTGATTCAGTGCATCCTCAAGGAAGTGCTTTGAAGCGGGGAAAACTCTAATTTTTTATCTGTGATCCAGCACTTGCCAAAATTTATTAGCAGAGGCCATTCTGATTCTTGGGGAGAAAGTGTTTTACTCCATTAGAGGTTTACTTAATTTGGGGGGATATGGTGGTTCAAACGCCAAGCACAGTGAAATCAATACTCTTTCATTTATTAAACACACATTTCGGGGCATAGAAACTAACAAATGCATAGGCTATTGCTGCTGCCCTACTGACAGTGTCTTCTGGCCTGTGACTTTGTATGGAGTGGCTATCTTTGTTTACACTCACTTTAGAGTGGTGCTCTAGAGTTCATTCATTTATTCAACAGATATTTAATGAGTGCTTCTCCTGTTTCAGGCACTACAGTGAAGGATAAAATGACAAGCAAGACACAGCCATTCTCTCTCCTTTATGCAGCTTATAAACTAATAAGGAAGTCAAACCATGGCTTATACTCATGACTACTAAGTGTAACAAGTGCATTGCTAGGGGAAGGCAGGACCCCATGAGGAAATATAGCCAGCACTCTAACCTGTAAGAGGAATTTTAGAGAATCTTTGAAGAGGATCTTTGGAGACACTGGCCTTTCAGCTGAGACTGGACAGAAGCTGAGTTAGCCAAGGGAAGGGAGAGCAGGGAGCAAGGGGCATAAAGGGAGCTCAAGGTAACTGGGTCCCAGAGGATGTGGAGTGAGTGGGGTGAGACGTGACTGCAGCAGAGCCAGGTTATGTGGGGAGGGCTGGCTGTTCCACTCACTTCCAACTTTCTACACCGCACAGTTTTCAGACGTCCTTCGGCTCCATGCTTTGCAATGTACAGTCCTCAGTGAGACCCTAGCCCTAACCCACCTTCCAGAGTCCCAGTCAAACCACAGCTTCTTCCCAGGAACCTATTTGTCAAGTTGAATAATTCAGACCACACTTACCCATATCTCCACAGTCCAATTATTGTGAATAGAAGAATCAGGGTGAATTGGGAATATGAAGGTGGCCTACTGATTGGGACCAATGGTGTAATGCTTAGGAAATGGTGAGGGGAAATTGAATCGCCCCACTGCTTTTTCTTCTCTGGCCAGGAAAATCGTCTCCGGGAGATTGGGGTACTATAAGTGAACGCTTCATTTTTCTAATTGAGTTCTCATTCCTTGGCTGGTATTGAACTCCATCCCAAAAACGGGGCTTTGAGGACACACAAAGAGTGAGAACATCACGAAAGGATAGGAACTTAACCAACATTATTTTCATTTCCAAAAATGAGAAAAAAGTAGTAGACACAGCAAACTTCAACAGTGGCTTTGACATTGGGACCAAGCAATGATGCAGATGAGGTGATCAAAGGGGAGGTCTGAGGATATCAGAGAAGGAAGCAGAAGTGACCAGGAGATGGCATAAATGTGCACAGAGCATGCCACAGCAAACTCACTCACCTGCTGCCTTTCTGTGAACAGTTATGGGTTGTCAGTTTAGTGGAAGTTCTTAGCTTCTCTGGGATTCAACAAAACATGTGCCAAACACTTCTTTAGAAATCCCTTAATACACATTCAACAAATAGATGCTAAATGGAATATGTCTGCAGAGTTGGGCCAGGATGTTATAAAAGCATAGAGAGGTGTTACCTACCCCTGCCTGTGGCAGGTCTGAAAGGCTTCCTGGAAGAGGTGACACCTGGGCATATAAAGTACACCATATGGCATATGGTATGGTACAGATTGAAAGAGTGTAGTGTAGCATGGTGCAAACTCACTTAACCCCACTGTGCTTCCATTTTCTCCTCTATAAAATAAGACGACAATAATACATAGTTCACAAGTTTGATGTGAGAATTTTTTCCAATGAATTAATATGTGCAAAGTGCTTAGAACAGTGAATGGTATGTGGTAAGTGCTATATAAATGTTAGCTATGACTAAGAAGATGTGTGGTTCATTTTTTATTAATAAACTTTATTTTTTGAGGAGTTTTAGGTTTACTGAAAAATATAGCAAAAACTACAAAGAATTACTGCAGACCTCTTTCCTTTCACACATAATTTGCCCTTTTATTAGCATCTTGCATTATTGTAGTGGGTTTGTTATAATTGGTGAGCTAATATTGACACATTGCTATTAACTAAAATCTGTAGTTTACATTAGGGTTCACTCTTAGTGTTGTGCATTCTATGGGCTTGGACAAATGTATAATGATATGTACCCACCATTATGATACTCTACAGAGTAGTTTCACTGTCCTTAAAATCCTGTGCTCTGCCTAATCATCCCTCCCTCTCCTTGAATCCCTGGCAACCACTGATCTCTTTATTGTCCCTACAGTTTTGCCTTTACTAGAAAATCATATAGTTGGAATTGTACCAGGTGTAATCTTTTCAGGCTGGCTTCTTTCACTTAGTAACATGCATTTAAGTAGTCTCCATGTCTTTTCCTTGGTTACATTTTTAAAAGGATAGGTACATTCATACCAAGTCAAATAAGGATACTCGAGGGAAGCTGAATAGAAGATCTTTACCTTGTCATTCTGGAGAAAGTTCTTTGAATCTTTGCCTTTGGAACTCTGCTTGCTATGTCATCCTCCACTAAAGTCCCACCCCTAAGGCTTCTTGCCTCTAATTAAGTGAGCCCTTTAAAATGCAAATGTTTCTGGGAGGTCACAGTTTAAATATTTCAGACCTGGGACATAACATTTTTCAGCTAGAAGAAGCTTTAGCGTCACCTGTTTCCAAACCCGTATTTAGAGATGGAAATCAAGAGAGTGGCCGTCCTGAGGAACACACAGTCAGAAATGAGTGAGTGACATGTGATTCATTTACCATGTCATTTGAATGCAGGTTAACCCATACACCATGAACTAAAAAAATAAAACACAAAGTTCAACAAAGTTCTTGTGAATTTCATCCAGAAACCTATACAGCGAAATCCTATTTGTTTATTTAATGTATGACTTTTATCCAAAATAACATTAAAGTACATCAGGACTATTCATTTTACCAACATATATTTACTGGGCACCTATAAAACGTATGATGATAAGTTAGGTGTGAAGGTATGCAGGTAAAAGTAATATGAGCTCAGCAAAAAGTAGGTATCCATGATGGCAGGCTTCCCCAAAGAAGTGACATTTGATCAGGCCTTTGAAGGATGCGCAGATATGTAGAGAAAGAAAGGGTGTGACAGTGAACCTGGGACAGTGTAAGTGGGCTGTTTCTTCAGGGATGGTGAGCCATTTTGCCTGGCTCGAAACAAGGCACACTGGGCTGTGGCAGAAGGAAGACTGGAGACTCCCAGTTATAAGTCAGGATGCAAGAAGACAGGGCTGGTGCTTCACCACCATTCCCAGGCCAGACTGCTCGACCAGGAACTCCTCCTAGAGCACAGCTCCATGAACACTTGCCAAAAGGCAGTCTGCAGTAGGTTCTTAGAGAATTCAAGGACTCCTCGCTTCCTCCCTTGGCTGCTGGTGTTCTCATTGTGCCCACTAAGGAACAAGTTTCCTTGCATTCCTGAAGATCAGACAATAGAATTCTTAAGAGAGGGTTTTCTCAGGAATGAGCCGTCCTGCGGCAGCCCTAATGCAGCCTGGGTGGTGGAGGGTGGGCTTTCCTTCCTGGAAATTCATCTCACTAACAAACTGCCTCCCCACCCTTCTTCCGCCCCTGCTCAATGCCCTGCACTTCCAGCTGCTGCTTTCTCTGCTTATGTAACAGCTTCCCAATGGCACTTTCAGCCAGGATGGGCCTCAAATGACTTTCTGCACTAAATCCCAGACCTTTGTGTAATGCAGTCATTTTGCAACCAGCCTCCCCAAGCTTGCCAGAGCAAAGAAGGCTCTAGGTCTGCAGTCCACCTCATTCAAGTAAACACCCAATCAAGTAAATTCCTGTCAAGGAAGAGTTGAGAGTGCCATTGACAAAGAAGGGGACTTGGAATAGTGATGACTGTGGGATGATCTCTCACCAGTCCCATCAGCACATATCTGGCTCCTGATTGCCTTCTCACCTCTGTGGATGACCACACAGAGACATACACATACACACACATGTGACACCTAGCCCTACGGTTCCCTGTGCTCTTATCATTATCTCCCTACTGCCAATCTTTCCCTCCATGTCCCCATTAATTCTTATGCCATCACGCACCTCAATACCACAATGACACAGTGGGGATGGAGTACACAAAAAGGGGCTATAAAATCAGACAGACAGGGATTGAATCACAGCTCTATTAACTATTGTACCACCTGTATAAACCCTTCTCCACCTCATTTTTCTCACCTGCAACCCAGAGATAAATAAAGCAAAGAGTTATGTTGACAATTAAAGGATATCACATATATAAACATTGTAGAATAGTAGCTGGCATGTAGTATAATCCCAGGCTATTTCCCTCCTTCTTTTTTCCTTAACAAATTAAATTTGATTGCATTCAAATAAGCACAGCATTGGACTGTCCCTTAGCGATGATAGAGAGGCAGTATGATAGGAAGAGCAAAGGCTCAGTAACAAATCCTGTCTCATATTGGGGGAATTTTCATTGCTAAGAACAGAAACCCAAACTCCAGCTGGATTGAAGGAAGAAAAAAATAATTTATTGGTTTGACAAAAACTGATCAATACCCTCAAAAGCTTGACTCCTTTTCTTTCCTTTTGTAATAGATCCTCATGTCTCCAAAGACCCAAATGCTGTACTCATCTCTTTCATACACACTCCAGAGTCTACCTTTCCTAGCCTGCCCTGCATCTAGGTGTGACCATGCTGTGGAATTTAAATTAAAGAGATAAGTGCAATTCTCAAGCCACTGTCTTTAAGAGGGAAGCTGATAGCTTTCCAGTTCTTCTTTTGCTCTTCCCATTGGCTGAGAAATGGGTCAGCTGGGACAATCACTATGAACCTACAGATGCCAAGCCATGTGTTGCAGATGGCAGACTTCTGGACTGTTATGTTAACAAAGACATGAACTTCTATCACATTTAAGTCCCTTTATTGAGGAGTCTGTTATAGCAGCATAGTCTCTAACTTACTAACACAATTCTTTCCAGTGGACTTGATCCAGAAGTTTCCAACAATGCCACCAAAGATGCAATTTCTTTCATTGTCTCTGGTCTGCCTTCTATGGTGTCTGCCTTATTCCAAGACTCTGCATGTTCTCGTCCCCCAACTGCTCTGTATGGCCCCAGCCTACCATAATCCCAGACCAAAAATTGCTTCAGGGGCTTCACTGATAGTAAGAAAAATTGCTGTAGTGGGTACAGACCTCAAATCCTCACATATCACACTCTTAGAAAAGGGTGACATTTTCTTCTATTGAAAAATATATTGAAATATTGCATTTAAAAATGGCAGTAGGGAGACCAGAAGACAGAATGATGGCCAGCAAACTGAAATGGCCCATAGTTGTTCATTTTCTTCTTTGAATGTCTTGATTAACTGTTGAGCTAGAACCATTATATCAAAATTTACACTGAGTACAACAATGGACTTTAGATTCAAGCTCTGATATTCAGTGTGTCCTTCCAGGGCCCTCTCAGGTTTCTACTGCGGGAGGCAAGGCACCTATTTCCCACACAATGTCCTACCAAGACACACAATGGTGTAAGCTAATGAAATTTCCCCAATGAAATTGAGTGCTGTTAGGAAGTAGAAATCAATGCTGGGAAGCTAAACAATGGCAAATGTCCACTCCATCACTGATGCTGCTATCGTCCCAACTTATAATTCCAACCAGAACCTCTCTCCTTTACCTCCTATGGAGCTGGGACTACAGTGAGGTAAGCAAGGCCCCCAGGGTACAATATTTAGGGAGACACTCATTCTCACATGCTAACCTGTGCTTACAGGACCCTGAGAGTGAGTGCCTCCTTAAATTTTGGTCCCTGTGTGCCTGCTTGCCTAACTCTAGTCCTGACACTTAACCCTCAGGCCTGTGTATTGGCCATTGATCCATAGGCCTCTCAAGTTCATCACGATTACAATGGATCCTACCACCTTCCACTGACAACCTTGTCCTCTTATACTCCCGATCACAGGGAATGACACCACCACTTACCACCTATCTGTTTGCTCCAGCCAGAATCCTAGAACTCATCTTTGACATGACTGTCTCTTCCCCTCCCTCCAGTGGATCACAATTCCTAATCACTCAACTCCATACATATCTCCAGAATTCACCAACCTCTCCAATCCTTACCACCCCTAGACATGAAACTAAGCTGCCATCATTTTTCCTCTGGACATCAGCTACCATCTCCTAACTGGTCTTCCCACTTCCATGCTCACTTCCCTCCAATACCTTTTTCTTACCATAGCCAGAATGCTCTTTTCTAACTTGGCTTACAAAGAAGTCCTCCGTCATCTAGCCCCATCTACTTCTCCAGCCTTAGTTATCACAACTAGGCCCTCCCCACCATACAAGAGCTCTATTGATCTCCTCTTAGCTCCACAACCTCTCCACGCCACCAGGCATTCTCAATGTGCTTTTCCTCCTCCCACCCATCCTCCATTTCTTATTTATTCTTCAAGTATTGGCTTAAATTTCATTTCCTCAAAAAGGCCTTCCTGAGCCACAAACTAGATAAGCCCTCCAACCTCATGCTCCCATAACACAGAGTTCTACTTTTAAAACACTCATCAGATTTTTAAAACATACTCATTTACTATCTGCCTTTCCTGATTGGCTACAAGCTTCTTAGGTTGCTTATCATAAGTTGGATGAATGTTTAAGGTAAGAATCAACCCTAAAAAGCCTCAAATTACCACTTTGGCAACTCATTCATTTATTCAGCCATCATCTTCTAAGGACCCAGAATGTGCCAGGGCTTTGCTAGTCATTAAAGCTGCAGAGACTAAGGAGACATGATTCTCACCCTCTGGGCACTTAGAATCTACTGTACTACTAAAGAGCCCAAGCTTCAGAGTCAGAGACATTGGTTCCCTCACGTGTAAAATGCGGCTATCTGTTATGGCAGAGGCTATCTGCTATGGCACCTTCATCACATCCTGTTGACCTACACCTTGTTCCAGCCGCAGCTGTGATAGATATTTCCATGCCAGCTCAGAATCACCTTGTACTATCAGCTTCCCATATCAAGCAAGTAGCTCCCATCTTTCAGCATTCTGTCCCAGGACTTTCTCCAGTGTTGCCATAATCTGCTTGACTTGTGTAGGTAAGTTCAGCCCAGAAGTGCAGGGGCATTAACAACTCCCAGCCCTCAGGACAGCTCCTGATCAACAGGGCATGGTGGCTGATGAGTGAATGCACCAGCCTCCCACTCTCCTAGGAGACAGAATTTAACACCCATTGCCTACAGCAGTGACCTCAAAAACAAAACAAACTTATTTTATCTTTTCCTTCTCCCCCGTCTCCCTCTCCCTGTCCCTCACTCCTGCTTCTTGAGATCCCCTGTACCGGTTCCTAAATCCTTGTATCAACCTTCAATTTGAGGGAAATTCAAATTAAGGCATCAAATTTACAAGGTTATGGCAAAGATTAACTATGATAACATGAGTGAAATTCTTCATGCATTTCCCAGCACATTGTCAGTGCTTAACAAATTATAGTTATTAATGGTAGCTATTATATTTTTGATGGGGGAGATGTATAGTATAATCCAAAAAGATAGATGCAATGATGGAATTACAAAGAGTTGAAAGTGCAGAATAAAAATGGGTAAAGAAGCCCTCAAGTTTGGAGGAATTAAGGCTGCTTCTCAGAGGAAGTAACTCTTAAACTGAACTTTCTTAAAGGCCCAAAAATCAGTAGAGAGAATTCCTAACAAGAGAGATGACGAAATGGAAAACCTGGCAGTATGATGGAACATGGCACACTATGGGAAGCACACACAGTTCTGTATTATAGGAGAGGAGAGACAGGATTTAGGAGGGGTCCATATTTAAGGCACAGATAGTGGCCTAGTCTCAAGGAACCCCTGCTAAGGCAAAAGTCTGAGGCAGCTACAGAAAGAAGCCACTGAAGGCTGTCTTGCAGACAGCCACGCAAAGAGAAGGACATGCCATCCACTCTCCATTCACACATGTGCTCTCCCTTCTTGTTTATTTGCACTCTGCTTGGCTGTATGGAATCAAGGCACAACTCATGACCCACCCCTTCAGCACCCTGCAGAGATGGGGAAGCAGGGAACATCCTTGTCAAGTGCCAGATGTTAAGCAGGGGCCTAAGGCCTGCTAATGGCTTTGGAGGTGAAACAGGAAACATTTCTGGGGCAGGAAGCCTGGAAATGCAGAAGTTTGCTGAATGAAAGACAAGCAGTTTCAGAAAAGTGGTGGATGATGAGATGGAGTGGAGTCAGACACACCTGGGGTCTAAACCTAGCTTGGCTCCTTCCTAGCTGTGTGGCTCTCAACAAGTCCCTTCCTCAATCTGAGCCTCAATTTCTTCAGCTTCCTAGTGTCCCTTCTAGCTCTGAGGCTCAAGAACTCCATGAGGCAGAACATGAACCTCACTTGGAAGGTTCAGAAGGATTTTGTTATCCCCAAAGCTCCTCTTTACTTTGAATGAGTAGACAGAATAAAATGTCTTTGAACTAAAAGGAGTTATTTAAAAAACCAAAAATGCTCAAAGGTCTGTCCACCTGCAGACTTAGAGTAGACAAGGACTTCAACCGCAAGACAGGACGTAGGAAACCACAGATGGACTCAGGGTGTCGGAAAGAGTCAACCTGGCCATTTAGAAATGCTGCTTAGCTAACTTTCACTTCCCTCTGGTTCAAAATTGGTAGCTAAGAGCTAGCACATTTTTGCTCAAATTTTTGCCAATTCCAGGTCCCATTCTGCATCCTACTCCAGATGTGTTGAATAACTTGCTCTGTGTTCCCCTAAAGTGCCCTTATCTCCTGTTTCTTTGTCTTTTTCATGCTGTTTGTCCATTCAACATTTGCTGAGCTCCTTCTCTGACCTGAGTTCTGGTTAGGGTAAAAAGAAGGATATGGCCCCTGCCCTCATTGGACGTAAGGTCTAACATTAACTGGATAAACTAAACAGACATGAACTAGGAAATGGTACAAAGAAATGGGAACTTCAGAGATGGTACATGCTTCACTGGGGAGGAACATTGTTTATGAGAGTAATGGTAGAAAAAGTTGACTTGGTTATGGAGATCAGGGAAGGCTTCCTGAAGTAAGGAATACCTTTATGTCCTTCCTTTTAACGAGAAAATCCTATTCAGCTTTATGAGGCAGCTTAAATATTTTCTCTGTGGAATTGTCTGTATCTCCCCAAGCAAGACAGTCACTCTTTTCTCTGGGATCTGTAGGATTTTTTTGTTGTGAACACTAACATAGCTTTGGGGGCACTGCATGTTTATTTTTAGCTGTGTTCTAGTCTATCTTCCCACAAACTGTGAGCTCCTGGATAGCAAGAATGCTCCAGCACTGTGCCAGATGCAAAAGAGATGTTCGGGAAATTTGAGTGAATTGAAATGTATTACATTATACATGTAATACAATGACTGCAAATTCAAAATTTTTCTAAAAATGAGTAACTTATTTCACAATTAGCAATCCAAATAATCTTCTGGTTCATGCTTCCCCCCACCCCACCTTAATAAAACAGATACTTTTCTAATGAGTTTGCATGGACATTTTATACAATTTGTATAAATAAACCATGTATAAAAATTCTAGACCTGCTATTCAAGTAATGGATCATAAAAGTCTTTCACTGGATTTTAAAGACATTCATCTGTAATTTCTCCATAAGCCCAAAGTCTGGCTGTCAAAGTGACTGAAGCAGTGAGGTTTCTTATTTCAAATATGAATTTTTATGATGTGGTCTATCTAGGTGGGCAGGAACACTTCGGGAAAGGCAGGTGGGTTTCTGAGCATTGAAACAGAACTGAAAAAAACTTGGGACTTGGTGAAACTGTGTCTCAGAAGAAAAAACATCTGTTTTCTACTCAAAGGGTGGAGTCGTTACAAAACAGGGGCCAGAATTACAGTATTTGGTTTGGTATCACTCTGGGTAGAAAAGCATCTTGGACTTTGCCCATTCAATTGCCTCCACCTGAAACCTCTTTTCTCCTATCAAAACCCTGTGCATACTTCAAGCCTCATCTCAAACATATCCTTGTTTATTTTACCAGTGATTGGATGTTGGAATTTGCCTACAGTCATAAAACATATCAGTGTCAAACCTAGAGAAAAACAGGCCTTTGGCCACCATCCTCTCCTACATTCTTTCCTCCATACCAGGGCTGTCCAAAGTGCCTGAGACGCTGAGTGGGAAATGTTATCTTCTACCCCTTTCTAGAGAAGTCTTGGTCCCTATGAACAATAAAAGCCTGTAGCATATTCTATAGTTTTACTGCAATTGGGAAACAATTTATTTTTATTTAATAAAGCATTTTCCAACTCATTTGAGCCCTTTTCCCCATTACACCCACTAACTTGCCCTTGAATTATTGTTCCAGAAAACACAATTTGGGAAATACTGCTCTCTATCATGATTATGCTAACTCACTTCCCCCTCATCTTTATACATGGGGAAGCCAAAGAAAGACAGTTATTATATAGGTGAAGTGCTAAGATATTTGGACAATCGCCTCTTTTCATGGCTTGTAAGAGAACTCTATTTTCAATATAAACAAAAATTTTATCCAGAAAAAGAGGGGCCAAAGGAATAAAAAAGCAATTTATGAAAGAAGAAACAAATTGTCAATTGATGTATGGTAAGGTGTGGGAGTCTCCCTGAGTATTCAAGGCAATGCAAATTAAAACAATAAGTGATGGTTTTTATGAACCAAATTGTCAAAGGTATTTTTTTACTGCTAATGTCATGCTAAAATTCCTAAGATTTTGTCTCTTTTATTCCTTTTTGTATTTCTCAAATGTTCAACAAGTATTCATTTTCAATTTTAAAAATATTTGAAAATTATGAAAATTCAGTTATAAGGCTGAGCACCTCTTAATAAGAATTTGCAGGTCTAAAACTGGGAAAATGTGTCTTTTACATTTGTAAGACTGGGAAACTATTACTTTAAAAATCTTTACCAATAACCTGTTGCTCTCCCAAATTAGCCCTCACAGGGGCCTAGGGTCATCTGCTCTTCTGTATAACCAAATGAGGAGGTCCACCCCTGGTTGCTGACTTAGTGTTAAGGCCTGGCCTATGGACTAAGACCTGGACCATCCCAATACCCAGAGATACAGAATGCCCGCCACTGAAGTTGCAGTGTCTCCTCGAGAGGTTCAACAGTAAAGCAAAACCAAGACAGAGGAGGCAGCCAGGGTCCCGGGAAGCCACGGGCTTTGTAATCCATTGGACCAGCCTAGCTTTGAATCCCAGCACTTCCTTTTCCTTGTGGACCTGAAGAAGTTCTGTACTTTCTCTGAACACAGTTTATTTCTTTTGAAAAAAGAATGACCGGAGTGAGAGATTACAGGATGGTCAGGAGATTTAAACCAGATGAAGTAGGTAACTCAGGTGTTGGCTGTGGCCTCTGTTCCTTGAGACATCTAAAAAAGATTTCCTGGAGCCCCCAGTTCCAGACACTGAAAGTCTAAACACACCCCTACACAAACACACACACACATACACACACATACACACACACACATAGACACACACGTTTCTGCAAATTCCAGGGGCATTTCTTGATAGTATGTATATGGTTCTAGGATCCCAGTTTAAATTTGTGGACCTTGTTTC
Source organism: Homo sapiens (assembly GCF_000001405.40). Lineage (NCBI taxonomy): Eukaryota > Metazoa > Chordata > Mammalia > Primates > Hominidae > Homo > Homo sapiens. Next base: position 56,299,719 of record NC_000001.11, read on the forward strand.
ACACGGTGTTGAGCCAGATATAAAATTCAGGCCCTTCTTCAATTTCCAATAACAAAAACAACAACATAATCATACATTGTTTGCGAGCATAGTAGTACTTACTGACATTTTGGAGGGAGAAATTTACATTTAAGACACAAATAACTTCAAATTGAAGTGAAGGTGTAACCTGCTCTCTCATGCCCTTTGCCTCCCTGCATTCCATTTCTGCCCCTTGCTCCTGCTTGCTGGCTTTCCCACCCATGCTGCAATCTCTGCACCTCTCCCTCCCTTCTCCTTTTCTAGAGAGAAAAACAAACTCCTCTCACTTTCTCAGGCAGAGAAGCTTGACTGTTCTTTTGTTGCTGAAGCTCTTGCTAAAACTTTTATTCCAAAATAGTTTATTGAGGGTTTTGTTTTGTTTTGTTTTGTTTTTTTGAGACGAAGTTTCACTCTTGTTGCCCAGGCTGGAGTTCAATGGCACGATCTCAGCTCACCGCAACCTCAGCCTCCCGGGTTCACGCGATTCTCCTGCCTCAGCCACCCCAGTAGCTGGGATTACAGGCATGCGCCACCACGCCCGGCTAATTTTGTATTTTTAGTAGAGAAGGGGTTTCTCCATGTTGGTCAGGCTGGTCTCAAACTCCTGACCTCAGGTGATGCGCCCACTTTGGCCTCCCAAAGTGCTGGGATTACAGGTGTGAGCCACCACTCCCGGCCTATCGACGTATTTTAATAAAGAAAGATAAGGCTGGGCTTGGTGGCACGTGCCTGTAATCCCCACTACTCAGGAGGCTGAGGCAGGAGAATCGCTTGAACTTGGGAGGTGAAGGTTGCAGTAAGCCGAGATCGCACCACTGCACTCCAGCCTGAGAGAGCGTGAGACTCTGCCTCAAAAAAAAAAAAAAAAAAAAAAAAAAAAAATTCTGGGTCTAGCCATTAAGATTAAAAATTCCTTTTTTACTTCATTACACAAGTATCCAGAGGCAGTATTGCATGGTAGAAAGCGTAGTGAGCTGTATATGTTGTCTAGCTGTGTCATCTTGGACAAACTATTTAAGCACAGTGTCCTCATATGTAAAATGAAGACTGTAATAGTACTAAGCTTATAGAGTGCTATAAAAGTTAATGTAAAAAAACTTAGAATATTGCTTGACACATGATAAGAGCTCATCAATATTATTTATCACTTTTCTTAAACAAGTTATTACTGCATTTTCTATGAATCTTTCTCCTGCTCCTAGGACTTTGTCCCACTTGAGTCACCTACTTAAAATGCAGTCAGCATCTATAAGGTATTACCAAGAAGATGTACCATTTTGACCTCTGGAGTTCATTATTGTGAAAAACTTCTAGCCGGTGACATATGACTGGAGACAATGATGTGAGTATACAAAAGTAATGCACTGGCAGTATAGCCTCATAATTTGGAGTCACATGTCCTGGGTTCAAATCTCAACTATGAAATTTACTTGTAGAATAATCTTGGACAAGCTGCTTGACCTCTCTGAGCTTTGGTTTTCTTGTCTCATAAATGCAAGTAAAAATAAAACTTTACAAAGTCAAAAGGATAAAGAGACATACACTGTAGGAAAAAATAGTAGATGCCTAATAGATGGTACCCATTCAATAAATTCAATGGTGGTGGTGATGATGGTGATAAACAAACAGCATAAAATATATGTTTAAATGGTAGGGGTCCCATTCAATGATTTTCACTTGGGAAGTTGTATACTTATCTTAATGATATTACGAGCTCCCAACTCCTATTTACAAATGATCTTTGGAACAGCCTGAGAATATTGGTCACCCACAATGTCATCAACAGCAATAGCTATGAATAAGATTTTGACATCTTTGTTTAGTTCATATTATTGTTATATATTATTGAATCATTTTATATAGACATTTTATATCCTATTTTTTCACTTAACGTATTAAAAGCATGTTCCTGCACCTTTAAACTTTTTGTATATTCTGTGTTAACAACCACATAATATTCTATTGCAAAGACCTGCCATATTAATTTAACAACTCTTTTGTCACTGGGCATTTAGGTTGTTTCCAATTCTTGGTTATTATAAATAATGCAGCAATGGATGGTTTTGGCCAGAAGGTTTTGTCTGCATTTCGGATTATTTCCTTCAGCTAAATTCCTAGACATAGAATTCCCAGGCCAAAAACTATGAACTCATGATACATAGTGCCATATCGTTATCCAGATCCTCCACATATTTGAAGACAACGATCATACTCCCAAGTCTTTTCTCCAAGATAAACACGCACATATCCCCTATCACTCCTCATATGACTCATTTCCCAGTGTGGTCACCATTCTTGCCCCTTTTCCTCTGGAAGAAAGCACAAACTCCTAAGCTGGCATTCAAAGCTCTTCCACTCTGACTCAACTTCATCTTTGCCCCTTCATCTCCTGTAGTACCTCACCTCCCTTGTCAGGCCCCTCCTCTCCTCTCAGTCGCTGCTCCCTACAAATGCCCTGTTCCTTCACTCTGCCATTCACTTATTTACTGTTCCTTCAGTCCAGGATGCCTTTCATACTTTTGATGCCTAGGAAACTCCATCTCATCTTGCAGTACAGAGCTCCAGTGCCGCCTCTTCTTCTTCTTGATCCCTTCTTCCCTGCTCCAGGCAGAACTAACTTTTCTGTGCCCCCTACTCCTGTGCCACTTTGTACAGAGTGGTCAGGGCCCCACCATGAAATGACAACCTACTCAAATTTGGACAATGCAAACAGGATTTAATAAAGGATGATTTAGGAAGATGTGTGCAGAATGTAGAGAAACCACAAGGAATAGCATCATACTCAAATGCTAGCAAGGCTTTTAACATCTCTACACCTGAAGGAGTAAGGACAGGAGGGGTTACTGGAATGCAGAAGGAAAGAGTTTTGCGGAGAGGGCCACCTTAAGAGAAGCTATGACTTCCATCAAGGAACAAAATCAGCCGAAGGTAACACCTCAGGGAAGCACCCAAGGGAATAAATACCTTGACTTCACTCTCCTCTCTCCTTTCCATCTCCCTCTTGTGCTTCTATGAGCAGAACCCAACTAGACCCAGAGCGATAGGAAGCCCATCGGAACAGTCCATACAGGTCATCCCCCCTGGGGCACAGAGCATGGTGAAGGGTGGAGAGAATGATTTGAGGAGCGAAAGGAAGAGCCCCAGCTCGCTGTATTAAAGCTCATTACCCTGTATTATAGTTAGTTGTTGGCAGCTGCACTTCACTCTCTGGACTAAATATTTATTGCCCCACTCACCTCTAAACCACTTTCTACACTGTAGCATGACCATGTTGTTCTTCCACTAATATGATTCAGTGCTCCACCGTGTCCCCTCATTGCCTACAGAGCCAAATATAAATTAATTAGCATGACTAATGCCCAGAGGACTTGGCCCTTGTCTTCCCCCAAGCCACCTCTGCCTTCCCTCCCACTTCACAATCCAGCCACATGAACAACCTGTCATTCTCCAAACACAGAATGCTCTCTAAAGGGTCTATGCTTCTGTCCTGAACATACTTTCCCCACTGGAAACTGCCTACTCATTCTTTAAGACCCAATGCGAGGCCTACTTCTACTATAAACTTCCCCTGCCTCTTCCAGACAGACCCTGGGGCTCCTTCTCCAAAGCTCTTTTGCAGCTTATAGCACTTTATATTATAGATGTTTATAACTCTGTCTCCCCAAATAAACCATAAGCTCCTTTATGGCAGGGGCCACGTCTTATTTCATCTGTTCCCCTAATACCTGGCAAAGTCTCTGGCACATAGTAGACACCCAATATTAAACTAATGAATGAATCATTAGGTCAGATATTTGCAATTAATGTGGATTCCTCACTTGTGCATGTGTTTTTCTAATGTATGCTTGTTTCAATGTATTCACTTCTTAAGCATGAGTGAATGACAGAGAACAGAAGCTTATATCCTGGGCATTTCAGCATCGGTTGGCACTGGATGCCATCTGCCATTGGTAGAACTGCTGCATGAAGGCAGGCATCCTAGAGAGGTCAAGTTGGAGACAGTCCACATGTAGCCTACCCATTGTGTATCCATTTGACAGACCTGTTAACAGGTAACTTGCCAACAAGCCCTTAGGAGCTCTTCTGTCTGCTTCCTAAATCCATTTTGGAGCAAAAATCTATTTTATTAGCTGAAGACAGAATAGACCAATTCCAAATATTTGGAAAAGCTTAATCTTGCAAATTAGCTAGCTGTCCTCTGGCCACATGGTGGCCACTTGTGTGGGAGGAAAGTAGGCCCATCTCAGGACAGACCTTTCTCTGTTTCTTGAGAAAACACAATAAAACACCCTTCCTCTTTCATCCACATCTGGCGGCTGCAAAAACAGTGACCCATGGAATTCACATTTTCATACTTGACTATGGCAGGCCAGTGTCCAGAGGTTATTCTTGCTGTGTTTATGAAAGAGTGAAGCCTGTCAGGATAAGAAGGCTTCTGATAGAGTGCTTATTGAGAAAACATGCAGAGGTTTCTGTTTCCCCAAATTAGAGAGGGAGCTTATGATAAGAATCCTTTTCATTAATTTCTTCTCCTCAACTGCTTCCCTGCTGTCCTGTGGCATAATTAAGAGCCTTGAGGTTCAGCCTTGTGAACAAAGTCCTAGAGAAAATTCCCCAAAGAACAGCTTAGGGGATCCTGTCAAAATTTTACAAGACTTCAAGGAAATCATATTATACCCATAATAGGGCCACCATGCTAAGAGAACTGAAAAGAATTTTTCTTACCACCATTTTTGGCTGGAGATGTATCAGTTCATCATGCTCGTATTATAAACTGAGTGCTGACTGTTCACTCATCTTCCTTGGGTAAGCAGGAATGGCCTAGAGAGATGAGAATGGCACCTTCCAAAAGTTCCAGATTGGAGACTGATCCATCCCACAATGAAATGGCACATCAGTCTGAATAGGATTCAGCAAAGAAGTTATAAGGACAAATAAGCAGACGGGGGGAAGTGATGAGACAGAAGGTTCCAAGTGGACAATGGAAGGGATTCTTGGGCTATAGCATCTTAGAAGCACTAACATCTAAGTGAAAACTGAAAGCCAAGAAGGAGTTGGTCAGTACAGAAGGAGAAACACCATTCTAAGCACAGGGAAAGTCCTAAGTGAAGGCCTGAAAGCAAAGATGTCTGGGTGGGTTGGGGTGCTGCAGTGAGGTTGGGGAGGTAGAAAGAAGTCTGACACATTGGGTACAGGGTACACCACTTGGGAAATGGGTGCACCAAAATCACAGAAATCACCACCAAAGAATTGACTCATGTAAACAAACACCACCTGTTTCCCAAAAACCTATTTAAATTAAAAATAGTAAATAAATAAATAAAAAGAAGTCTGTGTGTAATACTAAGGAGCTCAGATTTATTTCCTCTTCACAAGGAACAGCCAGTTCAGGGTTTAATCTGGGAATGGCCTGGCCTGCTTTGCGGTTTAGAAATCTCTGCCTGTAGAGTATCATAGATAAGAGAGTGTCAGTTACGATATAAGCACTTCCAAGACCATGGTTGAAATACAATCAAAATATCCTAAAACGGCCATCACTATTCCTAGCATCTGCTTACTCTAGGACCTCGAGTAAGTTTCTTAAACTTTCTGAAGGTCCATTTTCTCATGTGTAAATGAGAGTGTTGGTAAGAATTTATTTAAAAAATAATGTATCGTTGAGTGTTTACTATGGGCCGGACACTCTTCTACATGCTTTCCTAAAACAGACTTATTTACTGCTCTCAACAACTCAATCAGGTAGGTACTATTATTACTCTCTTTTACAGAGGATAAACTGAAGCCTAGAGAGGTTAGTAACTCGTTTAAGGTTTACAGTTAGTACTAAGTGAACCTGGGATTGCAAACAGGGAATCTACCTTTCAAGCATTTCTCCCCCACTTCCCTCATTACCACCCCATACCATCTAATTAAATAATATAAGCATTTAAAGTATTGAGTACAGGGCCTGAAACACATAGTGTAAGAAACCTGCAAAAGTATCATACAAGAGAGCTAAGCATAGATGTGACATTAATAAAGGTATGCTTCAGAAATACCAGACCAGAATGCCACCTCTTCTTTCAAAGTTAGACCTGAATTACCCTCTTTAAGATGTAGGAAGTTAGAATATAAAACAATAAATTAATACCATAGGATATAGATCAGGAAGGGCCTTTACATGTCAGCTGGTCCAGTCCACTCTTACTCAGTTAAGAAGGAGATCCTCTAGAGGCAGGTACTGGGGAGGGCCAAAGGGCAGAAAGCAAGTTAGCAAGGTTCCCAGGTGCTATCACCTAAGTTCTGGTTCAGTATTCACACCAATTGCACTATGCTTTCTTGCTGATGCTTGGGGGCAAAAAAAAAAAAAAAAAAAAAAGTAAAACCCAAGCACAGTAATCATTGTGTTCACAGTTCATAGAGCCCACAGGCACACATCTCAACCCTTGCTCTTCCCTTCAGAGTGCTCATCAGCCTTTCCCTGAGAACAGAGGTACTTCAAGGACATCTGCTTCTGACTCTCAGAATAAGAAAAACATTTGAGACAGTGCTGAAAGCAGAGTAGATACAATGCTCCAGTTTTGTTTTGTCTTGTTTTGTTTTGTTTTGTTTTTTTGAGATGGAGTCTTGCTCTGTCACTCAGGCTGGAGTGCGGTGGCACAATCTCAGCTCACTACAACCTTTGCCTCCCGGGTTCAAGCAATTCTCCTGCCTCAGCCTCCCGAGTAGCTGGGATCACAGGTGCCCGCCATCACACCTGGCTAATTTTTGTATTTTTAGGTTTCACCATGTTGGCCAGGCTGGTCTGGAACTCCTGGACTCAATTGATCTGCCTGCCTTGGCCTCCCAAAGAGCTGGGATGATAGGCTTGAGCCACCTCTCCCTGCCTTGATATTTTTAATCCCTGTTGTAATCCAACCCTACTTGTGGAGCCCTGCAAACCCATCAGAATCCTCCTATTTTTCTGCTCCCCATTTCCCTGCCTCCTCTTCTTCCCTAGCCATTTCTGGAAGCACCAGGGCTTTAGAGACAGCCAACTTGGGTTGGGATCATAACTTTGCCACTTCATAGTTGGGTGGCTATTGAGCAAGCTACTAAATTACTTAATTTACCTGAGCTTCAGTTTCCAAATTTATAAAATGGGCTAGTTATATCTTCCTCAAATAGCTGTAGTAAAGATTAAATGAAATCACATTCACGAAGGACAAAGTTTGTGAATTCTCTATAAATTATTCTCCTCCCTTTTTTATAAGCCTGAGCAGTGTACCCCCTACATCAAAGTGGAGAAATAGAACTAAAATGCTAACTTATATTTTTATGGTGCTTGAAGTTTACAAATTACTTTTACTTGACATTTCACATTTGATTTGATTTACTGATAGGTTAGTAACATTCCATTCCCCAAGTACCTGTTGAAACTTAACAGTACCTATCTCACAGTACTGCTATAAGAATTGAGTGAATTAAGACATTCAAACGTTTAGGGGAGAATCATATATTATGATTTACAGACATACCTCATTTTATTGCACTTTTGCTTTAGTGCACTTTGCAGATGTTACATTCTTTACAAATTGAAAGTTTGTGGCAACACTGCCTTAAGCAAATCTATCAGCACCATTTTCCAACAGCATGTGCTCACTTTATATCTCCATGTCACATTTTGGTAATCCTCACAATATTTCAAACATTTACATTATTATATGTTTTATGGTGATCTGTGATCAACGCTCTGTGATCAGATGTTACTGCTGTGGTTATTTGGGGGTGCCACGAACCACATCCAAGATGGTGAACTTAATTGATAAATGTGCATGTTATGACTACTCCAACCACTGGCCATTCTCCCTTCTCTCTCCCTCTCCTCAGGCCTCCCTATTCCTTGAGATGCAACAATATTAAAATTAGGCCAATTAATAACTCTACAATGGCCTCTTAAGTGTTCAAATAAAAGAAGAGTCACACATCACATCTCTCACTTTAAATCAAAGACTAGAAATGATTAAGCTTAGTGAGGTAAGAATGTCAAAAACCAAGATGGGGCCAAAGTCTAGGTCTCTTGTGCCAAAGAGTTAGCCACGTTGTGAATGCAAAAGAAAAGTTCTTAAAGAAAACTAAAAATGCTACTCCAGTGAACATACAGGTGATAAGAAAGAGAAACAGCCTTACTGCTCACATGAAGAAAGTTCCAGTGGTTTGGGTAGATAATCAAACCAGCCTCAACATTCATTTAAGCCCAAGCCTAATCCAGAGCAAAGCCTTAATTCTCTTCAATTATATGAGAGAGGTGAAGAAGCTGCAAAAGAAAAGTTGGAAGCTAGCAGAGGTTGGTTCATGAGGTTTAAGGAAAGAAGCTGTCTCCAGGTGAAGCAGCAAATGTTGATGTGGAAGCTGCAGAAAGTAATTCAGAAGATCTAGTTAAGATCATTGATGAAGGTGGCTATACTGAACAACAGATTTTCAATGTAGAAGTAAATGTAAACAATCTTCTGTTGGAAGAAGATGCCCTCTAGGAATTTCTTACCTAGAGAGGAGAAGTCAATGCCTGGCTCTAAAGCTTCAAAGTACAGGCTGACTCTCTTGTTAGAGGCTAATGCAGCTGGTGACTTATGTTGAGCATGACCGTTTCCTAATGCTAATGCTTATTGACCATTAGGGAAATCCTAGGGCTCTTCAGAACTCTGCTAAATCTACTCTACCTGTGTTCTAGTAATGCAACAACAAAGCCTGGATGACAGCACAATTTATTCACAGAAGAGTTTACTGAATACTTTAAGCTCACTGTTGAGACCTACTGCTCAGATAAAAAGATTCCTTTCAAAATATTCCTGTTCATTGACAATACACCCAGTCACCCAGGGGCTCCAATACAGCTGTACAACAAGATTAACATTGTTTTCGTGCCTGCTAACACAACATCTATCCTGTAGCCCAAGGATCAAGGAATAATTTTGACTTTCAAGACTTATTATTTAAAAAATACATTTAATAAGGTTATCGCTGCCCTTGATGGTGATTCTTCTGATGGATCTGGGCAAAGAAAATTGACAACCTTCTGGAAAAGACTCACCATTCTAGATGCCATAAAGAACATTTTCAATTCATGGGAAGAGGTCAATAATTAATGGGAATTTGGAAGAAATTGACTCCAACCCTCATGGATGAATTTGAGGAATTCAAAACTTCAGTAGAGGAAGTAATAGCAGATATGGTGGAAATAGAAAAAGAACTAGAATTAGAAGTGGAACCTGAGGATGTGACTAAATTGCTGTAATCTCATGCTAAGACTTGAACAGATGAGAAGTTGCTTCTTATGAATGAGCAAAGAAAGCAGTTCATTAAGATACAATCTAATTCTGGTGAACATCCCATGAACATGATTGACATGAAAACAAAGGATCTAGAATATTACATAAACTCAGCTAATAAAGCACTGACAGGGTTTGAGAGGATTGACTCAGGCCCTTCCAACTGCAGAGCTGGAGCTACTGAAGGGTGCTTATGTTAGTGGCCTGTTTCACATTGGCCTACCCAGATGTTTTAATTCAGAATTTCCCGTGTGGTAATCAGTCTCATCATGTTATTTCCTGCCTGCACTTCTAACCTCCCTCATTTGGGATCATTTGTATTGCTTTTCTGTGCTGCTCATGTTTACCCAGGGCCTGATTTAGAATCATCTGCAAATTTCATCAAAGGGCATTTATTCACCACCTACCCAGGGAAACATCAGGGGCCAAATGAAATGCCAATGGCAGAGCTTGCATTCTGATCACCTTCTTCCTTTTCACATTTCTCTAAATAACTGCCCTCAAAGTAGGTTAGCACTATCCTGAAAACCTGTGGCTTTGGGTCAGAGAGACCTGGGTAGGAACCTTGGGCAAATTACTTAACCTTTACATAACCTTTCTGAACTTCAGTTTCTTTCTATCTGGGAAGCAGGAATAATTACATCCACCCCAAAGGTTTGTTTGGGGTGTTAGAATTACATGTGGCATGTGGAGCAGTCTAATACAGGGCCTGGAGCAACCTACTCCCCGTCCCTGGCCCCCTCTTTAAAGGCTCTGTGAATAGCTCTCTAGCAAACAGAAGTTTTTGCTTCTGAAAAAGGTTTCTTTCTCTTTATCTGAATAGCATCATAAGGAGTTTTCCTAGCAATGACATAATATTGCCCATGTATTTGTTAACACACCTTTATGTATAGAATAATTATCTTTGGTGTGCAAATAAAGAGGGAAAAAGAAAGCATAGGTCTCTGATGAGTGACCTTGGGGGAGTTATTTAATCTTGCTAAGCCTCTTTTTATTTAGCTTCTATAAGCCTTTATATTTTACATTGCTTTCAGGGTTAAATAAAGAAGTGTGAGTATAATGTCAGGCTATAATAGGTGCTCCATACATCACTTGGTTCTGAGTTTGAATTCCCCTCTTCCATTTACCAACTTAGAGACCCCTATGAGATCTAATTTCCACATCCATCAGATGGACATAATACTTATCTTTAATGTGGTTGTGAGTGATGCAGGATAGACGAGCCCAAAAGTGGAGCTTAGCCTACAAGGGTTCTTGGCTTTGCCCAGGGAAGAATTCAAGGGCAAGCCAGAGGTAGAAGAAAACAGCTTTATTGAAGAGGCACTGTTACATCTCTGGTGGTGTTACAGCTTCATGACTGCCCCTGCAGAGCAGGGCTACCCCACAGACACAGGTTAGCAGCTCAGGGCAGTTTTGCAGTCATATTTATACCCACTTTTAATTGCATGCAGATTAAGGGGCAGTTTATGCAAATGTTTCCAGGGAAGGGGTAGTAGTTTTCGGGTCATAGGGTCATGCCATGGAGAGAGGCAGTGACTCCCAGGTGTTGCCATGGCAAAGACAAATTGACATGGCACACTGGTGGGCATGTCTGATTGCAAAGCTGCTTCCACCCTGGCCCTGTTTTAGCTAGTCCTCAATCTGGTTGGGTGTCTGAGACACACTTCTGGTGTTGAGTCCCGCCTCCTAACTCATGAGAATCTATGCGATAATATAAGTGGACATGCCTAACATACAGAAGGCACTTAGTATATGGTAAGACCTATTCCCTTTCTTTTCATGAACATTTTTGTGTGGTGTTGTCATTGTTAGGGACAGTAAATAATCACCATGATACAGTATAATCCACAAAGGCAAAACAGTGAAATATATTTCTTTCTTTGCTGGGTTCTTAAGAGTTAACCTTGGGATGTGGCTGAAACATCAAGATGGTTCTGCATAATAAAACCTTTATTAGGCGATCACATTTGTTTCATATCAAAATCACTCAGATCCAAAGATGCATTCCAAGCAGTTGACATCCATTTCAGTTGGATGCTAATCCAATTTTTAAAAATTAAACCAAATTGACAAGAAGCTGATATTATGTATGTTACCAGGACATCCTCCTGGGAACGAAGTGGGTAGACAGGCTGTCAAAACAGAACTGAAGATGCACCTTTTTCTCATTTCAGCTAGAATCTGCAGCTTCAGAAAAGATGGAAACAACCCGATGGAATCTCATAAATTACTCCAGCCACAGCCTTTCTGCCATTCACTTTACATTGACTAAAAACCAACATAGCTCATGTTCTTTCTGTAGTCATTTGATCCTGGAACCCCAGCACTGGAAGGGCCCTCAGAATGCTTGCCCCCTTTCCTCTCCAGCAACTCCTGACACCAAGCAGCCACCAAACCCTGCCCATTCTAGCCTCTTGCCATCACTTAAATCTGTCTCTCTCTCTGCATCCCAGCCCATACTTCCCTGGTCAATCCCTCATCACATCTACCCTGTACTACTGCATTCAAGTCCCAAATCTTCGGGACTCTGCCAGTCCATCCTCTATATTGCAGTCGAAATCTTTATATCAATATGAGCATGCCACTCTCTGATTAAAACCTTCTGGTGTCTCGACTCAGGATAAAAGACAAGTGTTTCCTGGGCTGCCAATGCTCTTGGTATGCTCTATCCCCTTCCTATTTCTTAGGATCCCTCCCCTGCCACTGCCCCCATTATACTTTACACCCCAGCCATAATTAACTTTGAATTTCTCTTTTGTTTCTGGAAGGCTCTAATACACCCAATACTCTCGACAGCTCCTATGTGCCCTTCAAAACTAACAACATAACTTTGGGCCTTTACTGACCTCTATACCCACCCCAGGCACAGTTATCTGTTCTCTTGCTTGTGGGCCCATACACTTTGTACCTGCCCTATTTACACTGTCTGAAGATTATTTGTTGTCATGTCTGTTTTCCTCCATATGCCTTGAATTCCTTGAAAGCTAAAGCTATATGATGCCACCCTTAATTCCCCATGTTTATTGAGTAGGTGTGCATGCATTCAATCTGGAAATATTCATTGCACATCTACTATGTGTGCGGCTCCAGAGATCTAAAGATGAACATGTAACCTACACTCAAAGGCCTTATAACCTGGATGTGCAGCGACTACAGAGAGAGTCAAATAGTAATGTGATGTGGCATGGTAAACAGAAGCACAAGATGCTCCCATGGGAGCCCCAACGAGGGGTCTTGACCAATCTGGGTAGAGAGGAGGGGAGAAAAAAACTCCTTAATGGAGGAGATACATGTTATTTCCTTCAAATTGAATAGTGTTTAGACTTTTAGAATTTCAGGTTTATGGTTCAAGATAGCAGATAAGGCAACCCACTCATATAAGAGCCCATTAAACAAAGTTGTACAAAATAGAATACATAAATCATTATTAGTTCTAATCAAAAAAAAAAGAGCATGATACCCACACAACAGAGATTTACTCGGGTTTCCATGGAGGGCAGAAAGCAAACGGGATCACTGAGGCTTAAACTGGAGCGTAAGAACTCAGTGGAAGACACAAGCAGAGGACTGTGGTGTGTGCGCTGTGTCACCTGATGGATCCCTGGAATGCTGTCAGCTAGGGAAGGTCATGAGTGTGCTGATCTTATTGAAGAAAAAACAGGATAGCCAAGAAGGCTATGGAATGGGCCATGGTGAGGGAGTCAAGCCTAGGCTGGAGATGGCCCATAGTCTGGACAGGGGCTATGGATGGAGGCAGAGAAGAGTTCAGCATAAATCCCCAACCTTTCCTTGACCTGAAAAAAGAGAGGAAGGATGCTTCTGTGAAGAAGGGAAATGTGCTGCAGTGCTCCAACCCAAGGATCAACTCAGCGTGGACACTGTGGGGCTGCAAGCAAACTGGCCTGCTCCCCATCATGCACAATAAAGACAAGCCTGCCACTCAGCAAGACACACTCATCTGCACCGAGCTCACCATCAGCTCACCAATCTAGAGAAAAGGCATTTTGGGTAAACAACCTGCAGGATTGCAGGATTACAAAGGGAACCTATGCCAGCTACGTATGCTATCAAGCAAGAGATTCACAAATAAAAGGAAGTCAACTGGGTCCACCTTTGAGGAAAACTGATGAGAAAGAAAAAGACAAACATTAAGAAAATGCAAACGACAGAATCTGGAGGAATAGAAATAAGCAAGAAACAGAAGAGAATTTTCAAAATAAATTTAATGTGTAATCTCTGAGAAATTTGAAGTTATTGTTGCTATGAGAAAGAGGGAGTCAAGGGTTCTTGGAAATGTAAACTATGTTTGTCAACATTTTTGAAATTTAGTGGAGGTGCTAAGTAATAGATTAGTTATGGTTAAAGACCAAATTAGTAATTTGAAAAATGAAGTCAAAAATATCTCTTGGAACATGCAGCAAAAGGTGAGGAGAAGGAAAATACAAGAAAATTAAAACTTAAACTAAATGGAGAATAAATCCAGAAGGATCAGCATTCCTTTAATAAGAGTTTCAGACATGAAAAAACTAGGTGGAGAAATTAGTGAAGGCTGTGAGAGTTCCAATGTTATCAAAGAAAAAACAGGAAGAAAATATTTTTTATCTTAAATGGAGATGCAATTCTTCATGTTGAAAGAGCTATTCCAATATGACATGTGATGGATGTAAAAAACAAACAAAACAAAAACCCACTCCCAGTCATAGTCTGATAAAATGTCAAGGAGACAGTCCTAAAAGCTGTCAAAGGATGTGAGCGTAAATGTACTTACAAAGGACAAAAATCAGACTGCGCTCAGATCTTGTTTCAACAATACTAGACCCCAAATGACAGAGGACAAGTGTCTCCAAAGTTCTGAGGAGACATGTTTTTGAACCTAGAATTCTATAAGCAGTGTGAAGCTTAATTAAAGAAATTCCAGTATTTGGGAGGATTCTGAAATGTTAGGTCGTAGAAAAAACAAGGCTCCTCTTAGCCTCCACCACGGATAAAGTTATCCACATTGTATTTCCAGAAAACTGTGAATATGTTACCTTTCATTACAGAAGAAACTTTGCAGATGCAATCAAATTAAAGACCTTGACATGAGTCATTAAAAGCAAGATACTTTAATACCTTTGTTAATTAGCTTGATTTAGCCATTCCACAGTATACACATATTTCAATACATCATTTTATACACCACAAATATATACCATTTTGATTAGTCAATTAAAAGAATCAACGTCTTCTTTAAAAACCAATAAACCTTCAACACTGTGGTTAGAGGGAAATGTTACTACAAAATCATGGTCAGGGACATGTAATGTTACTGGTGTTGTAGATGGAGGAAGGGGCCACAAGCCAAGGGATGCCAGTGGACCTCTAGAAGCTGAAAAAGGCAAGGAAACAGACTTACTCCAAGAGCCTTCAGACAAGAGCTCATCCCTGTGGATACCTTGATTTTAGCCTAGTGGGATGCATATCAGCCGTCTAACCTACAGAACTGTAGATAATAAATCTGAGTTGTTTCAAGCCACTAAATTTGTGGTAATGTGTTAGAGCAACTAGAGTTACCTCCCAAACTCCACTTCAAAAAACAATTACTTAAGGATATAATCTAGCAAAATGAAAGTAGAAGCTAAGAAGGAGAAACATACTTGATACAAGATACGATGGAAGTAATCCAGAAGTAAATGTAAAGACAGGGTTGACAGCTATGCAACAGATCTAACAAGCATTCCACCAAAATTAAAACAAAAAGCTAAAGGTTTTGTGAAAATCTTAAAGGAGAAAGTAAATTCCATTTCAAACATTATAGGTTTGAGAAGCACAGGATCTTAAATATTTGATGAAGACATTTATATCTTCTATGAATTAAAAAAAGATTAATTAGGGACTTTGGGAAAGATTAGAAGGCATATACAAAAGTCATGCCCCAAATATGTATGATTTTAAGCAATTGACAGAGTTAGAAAAGCGAATCCATTTACCCCTGATAACAGACATGTTGCCCTTTATGCCCATGGCTTAGAGTTATCATTTCTTCTCCATGGGTTCAATCACATACTTAGATTCTGTAGTAAATATTGCTTGCCCAATTACAATATTTGATATGCTTCTTTGGAATATTTAGAATCAACCTATAGGCGAAACAATTAAGGTTTAGTAATAACGATAGTACAGGATGTAATTGGTATAAACACTGAAAATATAAAAATGATGTTGGCCATCAGGAGTCAAGAAAGGTGGAAGGAGAGGGGAAGAAAGTGCAGTCCAAGAGTGTCCTCTCACTTGGTGGGAAGTCAGTTGATGCTGTCTAAACTGCTGACAAAAAAAAGAAGTTTAAATATATATTTTTTAACTTGTAAAAATAATTATTTATTTAACAAATATTTACTGAGTGACTACGCTAGGCATCTTTCTAGGTATTAGGAATATAACAGTAAACAGACAAAACCCCTTTAATCGTGGAGTTTACAATTTAGCGAGGTGAAACATACAATAAACAAATAAATGATTGACTTATCTATTTATAGTAAGTCAAATGGTGGTCAATACTACAAAGCAGGGGTCAGCAAGCTTTTTCTGTAAAAAGCAAATAAATAGTAAATATTTTAAATTTTTCAGGCCATAAGTCATCTCTGTCACACACAACTTTGCCACTGTAGCAGGAAAGCAGTCATAAACAATATATAAACAAATGTATGTGACTTTGTTTTAATAAAACTTTACTTACAAAAGCAAGCAGTGGGCTCAAGTTGACCCACAGCCCATGAGTCATAGTTTGCACACTATTGCTATAAAAAATAAAATAATAATAAGCAGGAATGAGGACTAGGGAGAGCCATAAAGAGAAGGGTTGCCATTTTAAACAGGGAGATGAGAGAAGGCCATGGGAGAAACAGATATTTGGACAAGGAGCTGAAGAAGGGGAGGGAGTGAGCCTTAGATCCCATGTCTGGGGGGGAAAATGTTCTGGGCAGAGAGAACAGCAAGTGTAAAGACTGAGGTGGGAGCATGCAACAAAGGAACCACGAGGCTGGAGCAAGAAGAGGGAGGAAGAGAGCAATGGGGGGCAGACCCAAGGCTGGATTTTGCAGGAGGATTGCAATTGCAGGTCTGAGCAGGAGATTGTGTAGTCTTGCAATACAAGTGTGGTCCTCCAACCAGCAACATCAGATCCCTTGGGATCAGAATCTGCACTTTAACAAGATCCCTAGTTGAATCCTATGCCCATTAAAGTTTGAAAATCACTGGTATGGAGCCCCCTGGGCCATTATAAAGACTTTGACCTTTATTTGAATGAGATAGAAAGTGATTGGCTGATTCTGAGCAGAGGAGTGACATGATCTGACTTTCATTTTGGAAGAACCACTTGGGTTACTATTTTGTAATTCGACTACAGGAGGGAAAAGGAGGATGCAGAAGACAAGCTGGACTATTTCGATAATCCATGTGAGAGGTGACGATGATTTAACCTAGGGCAAGTTAGTATGAAATGGTCAGAGTCTGGATATATTTTGAGGCACAGTCAGCAGGAGTTTTCATCACTTTGGATGTGAGATTTGAAGAGGACAAAAAGGACTGGAAGATGATTACAAGATTTGAGAGCTGAGCAACTACACAGATGAAGTGGCATTCACTGAGCAGGGAAGACTAAAATGGAGACAGATTGGAGAGGGTAAGTGGGATAAGGCAAAAGACCATGAATTTAGTTAGCTGGGGACACTTTAAGTTTGAGATGTTTATTAGACTGCCAGGTAGAGATAGCAAACAGGCAGTTGGGTATGAGTCTGGAGTTCAGAAGAAAGGAACACCTACTTGAAGATCTAGAAATGATAGCATGAGAGATGAAGAGTGTAAAGGAATTTTGGATGTGAGGTAATTATGCTAAATCTTTCGTTGCAAGGAATTAACAAATACTGTTTAAGTTTGAGAGGTTAAGTGACATGATATAAGCATATAATTAGAGTTATGGTAAAAATAGTTTAGTACCTAAATAAAAAAAATAGTCAAAAATAAAGAAAATATAGGTTAGTACCTAAATAAAAAATAGTCAAAATTTGTTTATGGTAAGTGAAATAAGTCAGTCACAAAAAGACAAATATTATATGATTCCATTTATCTGACATACCTAAAACAGTCAAACTCATAGAGACAGAAAGTAGAGTGCTGACTACCAGGGGCTAGTACCAGGGATGAATGGGAAGCTTTGTCCCATGGATACAAAGTTTCAGTTTGGGAAAACGAAAAAAGTTGTGGAGATGAATGTGGTGATAGGTACAATAATGTGAATATACTTAATGCCACTGAACTGGACACTTAAAAGTGGCAAATGGTAAATTTTATGTTATGTATATTTACCACAATAAAATTAAAAAATATATATTTTAACTCACATACTAATCACACACACAAATAAATAAATTATTATCCCATGAGACAGGATGAGAAGGGAGGGAGGAAGAAAGACTTGCTCTTTTTATTTTGTACTTTACTGTAGTGTTTGCATTCTTTAATAATATGCACACATTATTTTCATATTTAAAAATAAAATATTTTAAAAGAATGGGTATGAAAGGGAAGAATTTCAATCCATGTTTCTGCTTGACTTGCACTCAAATTCTCAAAACACCATTTTATAGAAACTGATTTCCAAGAAGTCATCAAAGCCCTTTTTATTATTATTATTATTACTAGAAGCCATTCCGTTGGAATCAAACACTTGTGTTTTTCCGATGGAGCTGGAATTCAAAGTCTGAGAGGGTAAGTCCATTTGGAAACCTACTCAGCACAGCCTTTGAACTGCTGCGTTTTCCAGGGCTTCGCACACATCCCTCATCCAACTGGCTTCCCATCCAAGACATCGTCAAGCAGCCAGTATTTACTGACCTGCCCACAGGGGTGCCCTGAGCCTGCTGGAACATGCCCAGTAATCGAAGCCTACCCACCAGTGAAGTCGACCTCAGGAAAATCCCAGACTGCAGCTGTCCGTCACCTGGGCTCCAACCAGCAAGCTGAAGGATGCCAATATGGAGGCCTCGAAGAAGGCCTTCACATCTCACAGAATTTACTAGAAACTCTAGATTCCTGTCAGAGGACTCTAGCATGTCAGACTTGGAAGAGATCTCAGAAATCATGTTGTAAAACTGTTTCATTTTATAGAGGGAGAAATGAGGCCCAAATATGCACCATCATGGAGCCCAGACCCAAACATAGGTGTGAATAGCAGGAAACATGCCACGTTCTAGATTTAAGTCTGAAAGCGTCTTCCATAGTGTCAGGCCTGTCCTTTTTCGGGTTAGGTTGAGTAATAGATGGTGGTTAGGGAAATAGGAAGAAGTGAGGAGGCAGGAAGGAATACACATAGTTTTAGTTACCTTGGCAGATGTGATAATAGCATGAGAAGTAAGCCAGAACTCGTAGATTGGCCATGATGTCATTCAATTGATGGGTGAGTTCTTTGCTCTGCCAGACGTTGCTTTACGTGCTGTGGATGTGGAATTGAATCAGACATGGCCTTGCCCTTGAAACATTCATGGTCCAGCCGACCAGATGGTAACCAGGGTTGCTAATAGAGACAGTTACAGCACAGTGTGATAAGCATGAGATAGAGCAGTATTTCCTAAACTTTTCTGATCATTCGAATTGGCCACCTCAGACTTACTGAGTTAGATTGTTTAGGAGAAGGAGCAGATAATCTGCATTTTTACCAGGACGCACTCCCCCAACACCCCAAGTGATTCTCATGATCAGTCACACTGGCTTTGAAATTGTTTAGAGCTGGATCCAATTCTGGTTCAGGCCAATGGTGTTAACTCCCTAACAAAATTGCTCCCTGGACATTTATCTTTTTTCTGTTCCTAGATTCCTTAAGACTACACCTTTCCATCCCATCAAGACCCAGGACCACTTTGTACTGCTGTATAATTATGTTCAGCACAGACACATTAGCTGAGGAGCTGAATGCTTGCTGAGATCCAGTCCACACTGTACTAATTCTTCTGCTCAGAAGAATTTTTGAATCCAAACACTCAGCCTTGATTCTTTTGAGCTGTGTTCTTCCAGAGGGAGTAAACTTATACGATTCATCTGCCCAAACGGAGCATTTTTTTCTAATTCATACAAAGGCACCAAATAGACCAGCAGGACCCTGAAAGAACCATTTCCAGATATAAGGTCCTTAACACAGGTGTGTGCTGGTACCTGTACCTACCACCACTCCCAGATTTTCTTGCCACACTGGACTACTTCCACCTCTTCAGTGCCTGCACCAGCCTAATGTGGTGGTAGCCCCTGATCTGAGTCCTTGCCCATCCTCTCAGACCTGGAAGAAAGGAGGGACTATCCCAAATACTGTTTGTTCCATGCCTGGAACAAGAGGCAGTGTAGCTTGTCATTAACAATATGAGCTTTGGAGTCAGGCCTGAGTTCAGTTCTCAACTTAAGCTTTACTGTGCGACATGAACAAATTAAGTATATCTGTATAATGTAGATTTAAATTTCCTATGCATAACTTTATTGTAAGGTTGAACAAGATAATGCATGTGAAAGTTCTTAGCGATAATGAGCTTCTGTTTTCTGGGTGCTATCTCATTCAATATGAGCTTCACCTCAACACCTTTAGATAGCTATTATTATGATTATCCCCATTTTACAGATGAAGAAAATGAGTGTTGGGGTGAGATAGAGGAAAGTGTTACAGAGCTGATCTCTAAACCCAGTTGTAATTTTCCAATCCCTGTTCTTTCTTTCGACTTTTGCCTCTAGATCCAGACATTAACTCTTATCAGGGTTCCAGGTCTAAGGAGTGAAAAGATAAGATTTCACCCTCAATTTATAAATGTACCCAGGTTAGGCCTAGCAACACAGGTAGTATGCAAAATAGGCTTTGATATCTTGAATGCCAACTCAAATCTGTTAGTAATTACTGCCCAGAGGACCATGTTACGGAGCATCACAAGGGCAAGTCAGGGTTCATAGAGCATCATGATTGATTAATGATGCCAGCCATGGGAATGGGATCCAGGAATGACACCAGGTCCTACAGAAGACTTCCCATCCCTTTAAGATTTCAAAGTATACCCAAAGCCAAGCATGCTTGATAAAAAGGGAGATCTAAGGGCACTAAATAAAGCTGTTAAAGACCATTAACACCTTATTAAGACCCTTTCCCAGATGCAGCCAGAAACAGTCAAAGAACATAGAATGTGGGAACATTTTGGAGAGAAAGCATGGAGCTGTCTGAAGCATTTTTTCAAGGAGCAAAAACTCAGTTCTATTTTCAAGGCTTTAATTCTAAGCTCCATCTACATGAACATCAGGTAATGGAGGGAGGTCATTGTGGAATTTGGAAACCTACTTCTCACTAGAAGCTGATATGTGACCTTGGGCAATTAATTTAAGCTCTCAAAACCTCAGGTGTTTCATCTGTAAAATGTGGATAATAATCTCTATCTCATAGTCCTTGGCAGGTATTAAATAGAATAAATAACGTAAAGAAGCTACAAAGAACCCCACCCAAAGGAGATGTTTGAAAGCATTCATTCCCCACTCCTTTTTCTCCCTCAGAAAGAACATGGTGACACACTGTTTGTAAGTCAGGCATAATTTACATATAGTAGTAAGATTCATACATTTTAGGTGAACTGTTCTACACGTTTTGACAAACATATGCAGCCATGTAACCACTACCACAGTAGATACAGAATGCTGCCATCACCCCAGAAAGTCACTTCACACCTCTTTCCAGTCAATCCCTTGCACCTACCTCCAACCCTTGGCAAACACTGATCTTAACTCTGTTCCTATAGTTTTGCTTTTTTATTACAACCCATTTTAAAAGCATAAATCCAAACAGCAAATAATTCTCCAGAGTTTTTCCTTCACATCCTACTCAAAAATAGCTCAGCTCTGACGGCAAGCTCTCTGTTCCAGGAAAATTCTTCATTAAATAAATGAATTCCATGTGCATATTAAAAAGACATTCTGCTTCATATTCCTTCTATTTATAACCAGAGTTCAACCACTGGGGGCCCCAGGAGCCTGTCAGGGTCTCTGTGTGCTCTTTAGCTCACACTCTCTACTCCCTGCTCCAGCCCAACTGCATATCTGGCTCCAGGCCCAGGTGGCAGGAAAACCAAGGTGCCAAAAGGGGCTTGTGGAAGTGTGCCCTGAGGAGGTATGCTCCCCAAACTTTTGGTGCAAACTTCAGGATGTCCTGCAATTCCTTGGGGAATACGTGCCATGTATTAATTACTAACAGCATGGAGAAGAAAGGAATCAGTCTAGAAACAAGAACAAAGGGAGGGGTGGAAAGGGTTAGGTGGTTTCTAAAGTCTTTCCCTGCAGAGAAGTCCCATGACCCAAGTAGATCATACAATAATTCCTGCGGCCACCGCCCCCTCCTCACCTTCATGTGCCAAATACCATGATCGGCACAAGAATTAAAAGTGAACAAATAGAAAAAAATAATAATAATTATACTTAATTTTTGCCCATAGATAACTTACTGCCTAATCGAGAAACAAAACATGCACAGAAGGATGTGGTTGAGTAGAGGAGAAATAGCATGGAGTATTGAACTAGAGGAAACAGGGTTTTAACCTGAATAGTCATTTGCTTGTTGTGTGACCTTGGATATGGTGCGTCTCTCCTCTGAGCCTCAAAGTTTCCATCTATAAGCTAGAAATTACATCCACCCTCAGAGGAGTGTTATGTGGACTAAATAAGGTTATGGCTATAAATCACTTAGCCCAGTACCTGTCATGTTTTAGCTCAAGAAAGGGTAGGTTGCTGGGTGCGGTGGCTCACGCCTGTAATCCCAGCACTTTGGGAGGCCGAGGCAGGTGGATCACGAGGTCAGGAGATCGAGACCATCCTGGCTAACACAGTGAAATCCTGTCTGTACTAAAAATACAAAAAATTAGCCGGGCGTGGTGGCGGGTGCCTGTAGTCCCAGCTACCTGGGAGGCTGAGGCAGGAGAATGGCATGAACCCGGGAGGCGGAGTTTGCAGTGAGCCGAGATCATGCCACTGCCCTCCAGCCTGGGTGACAGAGCTAGACTCTGTCTCAAAAAAAAAAAAAAAAAAAGGGTAAGTTTTTTTTTTTTGTTTGTTTGTTTTATTTTTTACCACCTATATTAGTCTGGGTTCTCCAGAGAAACAAAACCAACAGGAGATAGATGGATGGATAGATAGATAATAGATAAACAGACAGACAGTGTGTATGAGTGTGTAAAGAGACTTATAAGAAATTGGCTCACATGATTTGAAAGCCAAGAAGCCCCAAGATCTGAAGTCAGTGAGCTGGATTCCCAGGAAATTCAATAGTGTGGTTCTAGTCTGAGTCTGAGGGCCTGAGAACTAGGAGAGTGAATGGCGTAAGTTCCAGTCTGAAAGCCAACTCACGACTCAAGAGCTGAAGAGCCAGCTTTTCAGCTGGAGCCTGAAGGCAGGAAAAGATCAGTGTCTCAGCTCAAGTGCCAGGCAGGAGGCATTCCCTCATTCAGCCTTTCTGTTCTGTTCAGGTCTTCAATTGATTGGATGCATTCTGTCCGCTTTAGGGAGGGCCATCTACTTTACTCAGGCTACCAATTCTAAAGTTAATTTCATCCAGAAACACCCTCACAGACACCCCCAGAATAATGTCTGTTCAAATATCCGGTCTGGTCAAGTTGACACATAAAACATCACAACCTCCAAGAAAGGAATTGGTATTCTAAAAGGGATTCGGAGAGAGGCCTATAGCATTTTGAATGAAAAAAGGTTACTTCTGGCTGCGTGGTGTAGAGGAGTTGATATTCGAACCTTTTTTTTTTCCATAATTGCAGCTGTACCATCTACCAAGAACCTGCCCATTCTAGAGGAAAGGCCTGGGTTTAAGTCTCATTCACTCCTTGTCAGTCTCAGCTTCATCTCAACATGCGACCCCTCATTTTTTACCTTGCTTTATAGTCCCTGTTTCAATTCTACTAGTCTGTAGTCTTGATGCCACTGTCCATGATTGATGCAGGCTCGGTGTTTTTTGTTTGTTTTGTTTTGAGACAGAGTTTCGTTCTTTTTTGCCCAGGCTGGAGTGCAATGGCACGATCTCGGCTGACTGTAATCTCCGCCTTCTGGGTTCAAGTGATTCTCCTGCCTCAGCGTTCTGAGTAGCTGGAAGTACAGATGCATACCACCATGCCCGGCTAATGTTTTATTTTTAATAGAGACGGGGTTTCACCCTGTTGGCCAGGCTGGTCTCGAACTCCTGACCTCAGGTGATCCGCCCACCTCAGCCTTCCAAAGTGCTGGGATTACAGGTGTGAGCCTCTGTCCCCGGCCTGGCTCAGTGCTTGACACATGGTAGAGGTTCAGGAGATACTGGTTGAGTGACTGAAATCTAATTCAACCATTTCATGCAACAGATAAAGCAACTAAGGCTGCAGTCCAGTGTGTTTGTTCATTCAGCATCTGATGAGCCCTTGCCATGTTCTGCAACAACCTATCAGGGTAAATATGTAGAAATAAGCAAGACATCATATATACCCCATGAAAGCTCAGGCTGGCACAAGGGAGGCAAATGAGAAAGGGGGAACGCCCGTGTGCAGGGCTCTTACTTATATCACTTCACCTTCTATTCCTAATGTCCATTCATTCATTCATTTACCTAAAAATATTTATTGAGCATTAACAGTTCTAGGAATTGTCCTAGGTTCTAGGGATACTACAGTGAACAAATGAGGAATAGCTATCATTATAGAGTTCACAGTCTGGTGGGTGACACAGACAAACAGAATGAAAAAAAAATAGTCAATTATGAAAATGACAATATTTGCAAAATGCAGAGGAATCAAGAAAGGAAAAAAATATATAATCTGCCTGGGGAAGTCAGGAAAAGTTTAATAGTAACTGATCTGAGAATTGAAGGAAGAGTGTGTGTTCTCCAATCAGACATATAAGGAATACTGTGGATACTGGATATGCATCTTAGGCCATGAGAATGGCCTATACAAAATCTTGCCAACATGGGAGAACATAAACAAATAAAAGCTTTTGTGTGTGTGTATTGAAGTTCTTTACAATTTAATTTTTCCCAAAACATTATGTTAAAACATATGACCATAAACCTTCGCACACCACAATCGACCTCTGATTCTTTATTTGCAGACAGCTGGTTAAGTGTAACTCTTTGTGTCTGACATTCAACAGCTTTCAACATTCATTGTCAGAAAATCATGTCAGGTTGGGATATAACGGCTGGGTCAAGGAATGCTGGTGGGCAGAGGAGACTTCTTCACCACCACTATGTATATCTTTATGGCCCTGTGGCTATTTGCCTCAACCAGTCATTACTACCTCTCTTGGATGAAATCCTGCTTTCAAGGATCATAGGCATGGAAAACTATCTGAGAGCTGATTTGGAGCCTCGGTGCTGCTCCTTACTTGTTCTGTTACCACATTCAAAACAACCTCATTGACCCTCAGTTTTATCAATTAATTTTTCACAGACATGGAAACTGAGGCCTAAGAGTGATAAAATGATATGCTCAGAGTCACACAGATAGGATCAGATTATGGTCCAGAGCTCAGCAAACACAGCTCCTCACTCTATCAATTCCCTTCTAGTATCAGAGGTAACTACAGTTCAACCGCATTTAAAAAAGGATGTGTTAATATTAATTAGGCCATTAAGCCTTATTCTGCTGTTTCTAGACTTAAATGTTTCCTCAGTTCCTCCTTCAACAACCACAAAATAAAATCCCTTCTACTTACATGGCATTCAACATTCTTCACTCTCTGTCTTCTTCCTACCCCTTCAGCCTTAGTGACATTCACCCCCCAATCTCAGCACCAAATATTGCATGTTTTGCCCCTTAAATCCCAAATTATCTACTGTAGATAATAGATGTATAGTTCCTCAGTTTCCTAATCTGTAAAAATAAGAGGTTTGACAAAGGACTAAAAGAGTCCTAAAGAAACTATGGGGATATCTACTTCTGGCCAAAATGGAGTAAGAGGGACCAGCTTTATTCTCCTACCTGAAACAACTGAGAAATCAAACAACAACAACAACAACAACAAAAACAATGGTTCTCAAGACATTGGACACTTCGGCAACGTAAGTCAATGATTCCTGCAAGACAGCTATATTAGGCTGTTCTTGCACTGATATAAAGAAATACCTGAGACTAGGTAATTTATATGAAAAGAGGTTAAATTGGTTCATGATTCTGCAGACTGTACAGGAAGCATAGCAGCATCTGCTTCTGAGGAGGCCTTGGGAAGCTTCCAGTCACAGTGGAAACCAAAGGGGGAGCAGCCCCACTACCTGGCAGGAGGAGGAGCGAGAGAGAGAGTGGAGGGGAAGGTGCCACACACTTCTAAGTGACCAGACCTCATGAGAACTCACTCACTATCATGAGGACAGCATCAAGGGGACGGTGCTAAACCATCCATGAAAAATCTACCCCCAAGATCCAATCAGTCCCACCAGGCCTCACCTCCAACACTGGGGATTACGTTTCAATATGAGATTTGGGTAGGGTAAACATCCAAACTATATCAACAGGAAAAGAAGGTACGTCTTATGATTGCCCCAGTTTACAGCCTTGAGTGAATTTCTAGGCCACAGCATAGGATGCGGCACCCAGATGGAGGCTAGCGGACACCCTGATTTGAGGAGACAAAACTGATAGTCTAGGCAGACCAAGGCGACTAGGGTTCGAGGGGTAGTATTCTAGAAAGAAAGGCCAATGAGAGAGGGAACTCCTGAGATGTGCTCTCAGTTCCCCTTAAGTATTCAGTTGATACTGCATCTTAGGCCATGAGAATAACCTATATAAAATGTTGCCAACAAGGAAGAACATAAACAAATAACAGCTTTTTTTGTGATGAAATTCTCTACAATTTAATTTTTCTTTACAAGCAGCATGTGCATGTAAAGAAAACTACCTGAGACAGGAGGAAGGGACCTCAATCTATTATGAGAAAAAAAATCAATCAAATGACAGTAACCCAGATGACAGAATAAACAGACGAGGGCATTAAAACAGCTATTGAAAGGGTATTCTGTATGCTCAAGAAGCCAGAGGAAAGGTCAAACACGTTAAGTAGAGACATGAAAGATGTAAAAAGACCCAAATTGAACTATAACATCTGAGCTGAAAAACGAACTGTGTGGTTTAATGGCAAATCCAACCCTGAAAAAGACAGTGAATATGCAGATTATCCAAAACAAAACATAGAGAGAAGAAAAAACTCAAAAAAAAAAAAGAATGAATCATCACTAAGTTATGTGAGAAGACCATTTAGAGAATGGAAAAATAAACCACAGACTAGGAGAAAATATTTTCATAATTTATAAAGAATTCTCAAAACTCAGTAATGAAAAAAATCAAACCAGGCCAGGTGTGGTGGCTCACACCTGTAATCTCAGCACTTTGGAAGGCCGAAGTGGGTCAGCCCAAGATTCGAACCAGCCCGGGCAACATGGCAAAACCTTGCCTCTACAAAAAATACACAAATTAGCCGGCGTGGTGGCATGTGCCTGTAGTCCCAGCTACTTGGGAGGTGAAACTGGGAGGATGGCTTGATCCCACGTCGAGGCTGCAGTGAGCCATGACCACACCATTGCACTCTAGCCTGGGTGACAGAGAAAGACCCTGTCTCAAAAAATAAAAAATAAAATTATATTTGAACACTCTACCAAAAACAAGATATACGAATGGCAAATAAGCACATGCAAAGATGCTCAACATCGTTAGTCATTAGGAAAATGCAAATGAAAGCACAGTAAGATATGCTAATCACCTACTAGAATATCTAAATGTTTAAAGACTAACATACCAAGTGCCAGAGAAAATATGGAGCAAGTAGAGCTCTCATACATTGTTGGGAGAAGCATAAAATGTTACTATCAGTTTGGAAAACAGTTTGACATCTTTGTAAAGTTAAACACACCTCTGTCATGTGGCCCAGCCATTCTACTCCTAGGGATTTAACTAAGAGAACTGAAAGCGTATGTCCATACAAACACTATTGTTCCTAACAGCTTTATTTGTAATGCCTAAAAGTTAGACACAACTAAAATGTTCATCAGCAGGTAAATGGATCCGTGAATATGGTATATCCATATAATGAAATAGTATTCCAATAAAAAGAAGGAACTATTCATACATAGAATAACATGGTAAACCTCAAAATAATTATGCTGATTAAAAAGAGCAAAATTTAAAAAGAATATTTACTGTTTGATTTTGTTTATGTAAAATGCTAGAAATACAAAATAATCTACAGTAACAGAAGGCAGATCCATGGTTGCCTGAAGATGGAGATGGGGATGGGGATGGGGATGAGGATGGAGATGGATTTGGGGACAGGGATGGGGGTGAAAATGAGGACAGGCTGGGGAAGGGGATGGGGATGGAGATGTGAATGGGAGTGGGGATGGGAATGGGAGTGGGGATGCAAATGGAGATGCAAATGGGGATGGGGTGGAAATGTAGATGGGGATGGGAATGGAGATGAAAACGGGGATGTGGATGGGGATGGGAATGAGGTTGGAGGAAGCAAGTAGAGAAGGACAGGAGAGGACCATCAAGGGGTACAGGGAAGCATATGGGAGTGATGGATATGCTCCCTATTTTAATTATTTTTGATAGTTTCATAGGTGTGTATATACACGTATCATATTGTATGCTTTCAATATGTGCAGTTTATTGTACATGAAGAAGAAGGAAGAGGAGGCAGCAGGGGATCAGGAAGAAGAAGCAATAGTAGCTATGATGCTAAGAGTCGCTCTTCTGCGTCATCCAGAGGCAAGCAAATAGTGTCTTCTGCCTTCTTTATGGCTCTCAGCTCCAGGCTAAAATTAGAATAATAGATAAAGCAACTATAGAACAAGGCAGTTGTCCAGAATATTGATTTGGCAAACACTTTTCCAGTGCTTTCTGCTTGCCAGGCTCTCTACTAAGTGCTTTGCATTACTTATCTCACTTAATTCTCTTATCAGTCCTCTGTGGTAAGTACTATTACTATCCTCGTTTTACAGATGAGGAAATAGACCAAAAGTGTTAAGTGCCATGTCCAGGGTTATATGGCAAAGCCAAATTAAATAAAGTTATATAAAAGCAACTCATAGGGCCCAGGACAGAGCAGGCACTTTATAAATATGAGTTGAGACCACTCTACTTGGTATATGTCGGTGAAGGTGACCTTGTCCAGTGATTGAGAATGCAAACTCTGAAGTGGAACAACTTTGGTTCAAACCCATTCACCAGCTATGGGAACTTTGGCTTAGAATTTCACTTCCTGTGCTGTTTCTTCATTTGTAAAACAGGGCCTGATTTAAAGGTTTAATGGAGTAATATGTATAAAAAATATGGAATGATAGTTGATAGGCAATAAATTCTCAAAATATGGCACTTATCACATTAGTTGAGTCTTGGTTTGTGCAGCATTTGTTGATTGATTGATGAGAGAAAACACATAGCAATGTTGTACCATCCTCAATAAAATCCACTTGAGAACTCACCAAAATGGTAGTCATATTCTCATTTACTATGCTATTCAGAGCAAAAAAGAGATCTATCTTCCAAACAAAACCCATCATTTGTGTCCTAACAAATTTACTTCTCATCATCAATTCCTCTCTGGCCCTTCCTGGCCATCTCAGGACTCCCTCAACACCCTGTGAGTGAGCCTTAACCTGAGGTCACTTTCTCTTCCTGGACAGACTCCCATAAGCCAGTGCCTCTCTGCCTTCCACTTCTCTTCTTGAACATCCTCATCCTTGGGGCTCTTAAGCTCTCGGGATAAATGGTTCAGAGCCATCTGTGGTATGCTGTCCTCTTTGGACAGAGCTTGTAGCCTAACATTCTACTTTGCTCACTACACACCAGCCACATTAATGAGATGACTGTATTATTTTTCCATCCAGTAGAGATGCTTTAGGGAGTGCAAAATAGCCCTATTAATAAGGACTCTGGGTTTAAATGGGACTATCCCCAGAAAACAGCCTATATCCTGTTCATATGACCACCTTCACAGACCTTCTCTCCATTCTTGGTTTGTGCAAAACTCCTTTGCAACTTCATGCATGCTGCTTTACTTAAGCAAGACATCCTTCCTCTCCCCTTTAATTCCACCACCTATGACTCATCCCATTTCACTTTCAATGACACTTTCAGGCACAGGCCCTCACATCACCCTATATTCCTTTCTTATAGTACTTTTCATAAAACTGTTTCATAACTTATATAATGGCAAAGAACCCTAGCTTGGTGGCTCTTAGTACCAACCCTGTAACCTTTGACAAGTCACTTAATTATTTTCAGGCGCAGTGGCTCATGCTTATAATCCCAATGTTTTGGGGTACTGTGGTGGGAAGACTACTTGAGGCCAGGAGTTCAAGACCAGACTGAACAACATAGCAAGACCCCCACCTCTCCAATAAATAAATAAATAAATAAATAAATAAATAAATAAAAAGTTACTTAATTCTCTGGGCCTCAGATTACACATGTGTTAAATGGTGATGATAATAGTGCCTATTTTGTGGGGTAATTTTGAAGGGTAAATGGAAAAAAATTTCCATAAATCACTTAACACAGTCCTTTGGTAAGAAGAAAGCTCCTAACAAAGGTTTTTCTTGGGTTTGGTTGTTGTTATCACCATTGCATTTTCCAGTTTGCAGGGCCCTTTCACATTTGGTGTGTTCTTCCTGGTAAAGGACTAGGTTTGTCCTGTTAGAGAGTTGTCAAATGGACTCTGAGAAGTCAAGTGGCTTTACTCAGGTCACAGCTGGCAGGACCAGGGCCTGAATCCTAAATACTGATGCCACAGTGGGTTTCATTGCTGCTATTTTGACGTCCGTTCTAGCACTCAGTTCTACTGTTTCATAGAGTAGGGAGATGTTGCTGTGAAGGCTTCACTTTACTTCAACATGCCTATATGAAAGTTGGCTAAGTGCTCAGAAAAGAAGTAGCTTTTGAACAGAATGCATTTATAGCTAAAGGCTTCCACACTGGGAGTCAGTGTCAGAGAGATTAAATACCTAGTCTTGGGAATGACATCTGGCTTTAAATCAGCACTCCGCCACTAATCATCATGTGGCCCTGGGCAAGTCCCTTGATCTGTACAAGGCTCAGTTTCCTTGTATATAAAGTGGAGATTGCAATGGCACCTCTGTCTTCTAAAGCAGATTGCATAATACAGGCATGTAGCAATACTAAATAAATGTTAACTAGTATTCTGATCTAATTTTTAAGCTCCAGTTTGTGCCTACTGCTCTTGAAGTAAAGACCAAACTCCTTAATATGATCTACAAAGCTTGGATCTATCTAAGTGAACCTGTTTAGCCTAACATCCCACTTTGCTCACTACACACCAGCCACATTAATGAGATGACTATTATTTCTCCATCCAGTAGAGATGCTTTAGGGAATGCAAAAAAGCTCTATAATGAATACACTGGGTTTACAAAGGGACTATCCACAGAAAACAGGACCATATGGTCATGTTACACATTGACTTTCTCTCCGTTCTTGGTTTGTGCAAAACTCCATTGCAACTGCATGCATGCTGCTTTACTTAAGCAAAATGCCCTTCCTCTCCCCTTTAATTCCACCACCTATGACTCATCCCTCTAGTTTCATTTTCAATGACACTTTCAGCCATAGGCCCTCACAGCACCCTATATTCCTTTCTTATAATACTTTTTCATAACTTTTGTTTGAACAACTACTTCTCCATCAAGATTGATTTATATCTATCTCTCCCACTAGACTGTAAGCTTCATGAGCATAGACTATGACTGTCTTATTCATCATTATATCAAGTTTCTAGCAGTCACTGAATGAATGAATGAATGAATAAAATTATTATTATATATGACCTGCACAATAACTCTGTAAGATAAAGAAGTATTATCATCTCCATTTTATAGATGTAAAAATGAAAACAGAGAAGTTAAGCAACTTGCCCAAAGTGACACAGTGAGTGAAGTATTGAATACAAGGGACTCTGACCTAGAGTAAGACTCCCAGCTCAATACATTTTCTGCTACTCCATATTGTCTCTTAATATCCTATCTCCATGTCTTTTGGATCTGAAAAACTCAGCCTCTATTACCGACAGCTAATGAATACAAGAGAGATTTCTCTGAACACAGACAAGCCCTCTATCCCTTCTCTTTTAGTGGGGGCTGTTGGAAAGGAAGCTTACTTCAAGTAGATATAAGAAATAAACATTTTTGCCAGCTTGAATGCAGCCTAATCCAGTGGTTATTTAGATTAAAACCCCAGGGCAGTGTCCAGGCTGACCTCATCTCTATGTGGCAGAAGAGTGCCACCAGGTTCAGCCACACTCAGGAGCCTCAGCCCAGGAGAAGTACATAAGGAAATAGTTCAGAATCCCAGTGCTCCAGGGGAGCCTTGATGACTGAAACTTGAGAGGCCTCCTGAACTTGGAAGAGAGGTCAGGCCACCAAATGCTCCATTGTCCATTGAATGTTACATCCCATGCAATTCCAGATAACTCAATACTACAGTATTCTCTTACAACTGAGAGCATTATATTTTTCAAATGCTTCCATAAACAGCTTTGTTTTCCTTTTAACCTATCAACAACTAAAAAAAAATGTGGGAACAAGTAATGCAGTAAAAAATGGTTACGTGCATGGGATTTGGAGTCAGACAGGTTGAATCCCATTTCTGCTGCCTTCTAGCTATGGAACTTGAATAAGCCACTGAGCCCCTGTGAGCCTCCGTTTTCTCATGTGTAAAATAAAGATACTGTATTACATACAGAGACATCATAGAGTCAGTCAGGTGATGTATGTAAAATGCTTTTCTCAGAAGTTCAATATTAATAGTACTTAAGTCAGAATTTCTGGACTCTACTTTGTTGAGTGGGATTTCTTTACAGTGAGGCCCACCAGCAAATATCCACCTCCTAGTTCATCTCCATAGTTAAATAGCAGGCTGAGTAAATATTTGTGACATGAATCAATAAGCCAGTGAACCTTTGTCCCGTTATGGCACCAAGAAACCTTTCCCTCTCTCCTGGTTTGGGGCCTAAATGCTTCTGGAATAATGAGCTGTCATGGATTGATGAATCACAAAGCAGTGGACTTACAATGCCTTCCAAGCAATCAGGTTTAAAGAAAAATCCTTTAGGGCACATTGATGCGGGGTGAAAGAAAGCGAGGCTGGGTCCTGATGAATCCCACACGCAGCCTGACAGAGTGAATGGCAACCTCTTCAAATCGGTTCTTGGCGGAGGCACTCGGGGAGTTCTTACTTACCAGCCTCTCCAGACCTGTCTGTCTGTCCACCGCAGACTCTACCTCTGACTGGGGAGGCCTGAGTCAGGCGACCAGGGGATCCTGCTGATTGGAGTCAGCTCAATGACTCGTCAGCTGGAAAGAGGGGGATATTGAATTCATCAGTCATGTTGACAGGGGGCGTGGGGTGGAGAGTGCAGGGGAAAACCCAGTGTTGGGCAAAGCTGTGAAGAACACTGAGTTAGACTTGGGCACGATAACCCCTTGAACCAAATTAATGACCCACAGGCTCCCATTGTTTTGTTTCAAATTGTACTGAATGATGGATAATAAATGTTAGCCCTTGGGTCTCACTCAAATATCTAAGAAAACAGTAGGCAATTTCTTAAATTTTTTTTTCCGAGTGTTTTCATGTATCTTTAAATGTTATACAACATTTATATTTCAGTAATTGGACACGCTGATACTACCTGGGATGGTAGCAGCCAATTGGGATTTTTTTTTCTTTTCTTTTCTTTTTTTTTTTTTTTTTTTTGAGACAGAGTCTCACTGTCACCCAGGCTGGAGCACAGTGGTGCGATCTCGGCTCACTGCAACCTCCACCCCTCAGGTTCAAAGATTCTCATGCCTCAGCCTCCTGAGTAGCTGGGATTACAGGCATGCACCATCACACCCAGCTAATTTTTGTATTTTAAGTAGAGACGGGGTTTTGTCATGTTGGCCAGGCTGGTCTTGAACTCCTGACCTCAAGTGATTTATCTGCTTTGGACTCCCAAAGTGGTGGGATTACAGGCATGAGCCACGGCACTTGGTCAACAAATTGGGATTTATTAAACACCTATTTTGTACCATGTGAATATATATATATCTGTTATTTTACTCATTTCTCTGAGAGGGGTGCCTACATAATTCCCAAATTATAGATAAGAAAACAGGGAAAGACAGGTGACTAATTTGCAGAGTCACTTTACAAGACAGTGACAGAGGCTGAACACAGTGGCTCACACCTGTAATCCCAGCATTTTGGGAGGCCCAGGCAGGAGGATTGGTTGAGACCAGAAATTTGAGACCAGCCTGAGAAACACCAAGGCCCCATCTCTACAAAAAATAACAATTAAAAAATGAGCCAGGTGTGGTGGCAGATGTCTGTAATCCCAGCTACTTGGGAGGCTGATGCAGGAAGATCACTTGAGTCCAGGAGTTGAAGGATGCAGTGAGCTATGAATGCGCCATTGCACTCCAGCTTCGGTGACAGAGAAGGACCCTGTCTCTGAAAAAAAAAAAAAAAAAAAAAAAAAACAGTGACAGAACCAGAATTTTAACTCAAAGCTATGCAACTCTAAAGTGTATCAGTCCATGCCCTGCCCCTTTTGCCTCTGCTCCAAGAATCAGTAGCAGGGGTTGGTTTGGCCCATTGCTCACCAGTTGATAGCATGTACATGTGTTTCACTGGTTAAGTTTTGAAGTGAATTGTTTCTCCCAACAGCCTTGTTAAGTGACCAAGCTAAATTTGAGGTCAAGTGTCTTTGGAGTCAAGAGAAGCTCTAGTCCAGCTGGTCTCTGTAAGAGTCCCTCCTAGAACTTCCTCCCCGACTGGTCTACTCCAGGAGCCACCAAGATGCACCTTTTTCCAGATATTCAGAGCCAGAACAGTCCTTGAAATTCTTCTTTTTCAGATTGCTGGGGCTGTCCTAATTAGCACAATGGTAATTGTTGGGAGGGGAGTTTGACAGTTGGCCCAGGGACCTGGGCCAAGGCCCCCTCTGGCTATGATGTTCTGAGATTATGTGAATTGAAGGGTTCCCTCTGGTTCAGAATCCATATTCCACACTCTGCTCTCTCAGCCTGGCTTCCATGTCCAGAGATTATATGCTAGCTTTAGTACTTTTAGGCTAATGATACTGAATCACAGGTTTGGAAGGGACTTTAGGACTGTCAGGTCCAATCTACAATTCAATAGTTGGATCTCATCTGCAATATCCCTGCCAATTGGTTTCCCCTCTGCTTACCCTTCTCCAGCAATGAGGAGCTCATTACCTCATTCCTTCTTTGGATAATGTGGCTGTTAGAAAGTTCTTTCTTTGCTTTAAGTTGTTTCAGGCAGAAGGGACAACATGAGCAAAGACGTGGAGGAGAAAACAGCTTGCGTCACTCAATGAGGATTTGGAATCAGAAGACTAGGGTCAAGACCCACATCTCCTACTTCTTAGCTGGTGACCTTGGATAGGAATTTAACCCTCGTGAACTTAAGTATTTCTTTTCTTAGCTATGAAATAGGGTTAATACCTGCCCTATCTACCCCCAGGACTTGCTGTGAGGATCAAATGAGAAAATGAATAGCTACTTTCAGAGAAAAAGGGTGTGTACATTTGTAACAGGATAGTTATTATCATTGACAGTTTTTTTGTTTGTTTGTTTGTTTGTTTTTGAGACAGAGTCTCACTCTTTCATCCAGGCTGGAATGCAGCAATGTGATCTCAGCTCATTGCAACCTCTGCCTCCTAGGTTCAAGTGATTCTCATGCCTCAGCCTCCTGAGTAGCTAGGATTACAGGCATGAGCCACCATGCCTGGCTAATTTTTGTATTTTAGAGATGGGTTTTACCATGTTGGCTAGGCTGGTCTCAAACTCCTGACCTCAGGTGATCTGCCCACCTCAGCTTCCCAAAGTGCTGGGATTACAGGCATGAGCCACAGCACCCGACCATCACTGATAATCTTTTATCCAACTTTTTCCACTTTGAATAAGAAAGGAACCAAAGCAGTTGTCTTTGATTTGTTTTGCTACTATTTGCAAGGCAAGAGGTTTGACACTTGCCATAAAATGCAGAAGTAGCACTTGCCCAAATTTTGTCCTTTAGTGGACTCAATATATTTTCAGACAGCATCATGAAATGGTATCTCACTCATGCCCAAATCTCCTTCCCAATTCAGGCACATTGTTTGGGTCTCCCTGGGGAAAGGGCCGACACTTGTGCTCATTTGCACCCAAGCTGCTGAGGGCTTGCACTGACAGAAACAGATGTCAGCAGGGTGAAACCAACACATTAATTTTGCCTGATGACCTAAGCCAGATGTGGATAGAAGTCTCCAGAGGTAAGAAAGAGGGCGAGAAAAGATTATGGCCTCTCCCTGCTGTACCACAATCCATTCCGATTTTTCAAGATTATCTTTCAGCCATCAGCCCCAAAACTGACTAAATATCTCATGCAGCCTTTCTGAGCCAGCATCCCCAGGCTCTCCAGATTTGACCATCTCTGAATAATTGTGAGTATCACCTTTCAGGAAAGACCTCCCTGACCATTTCAAATGCCACAGTTCTTGATCTAGATGATATATCATTTCATTCTCAAAATAGTCCTCTGTGGTAAGTTTTATCATTTCCTTTATTTAGATGTGGAAAGTGAAGCTAAGAAAGGTGAAAGTGCTTATTTAAGTTCACAAGGATAGCAGAACCAAAGCTAAAACTAAAGTCTTTTAACTTTAAAAGAAAAAAAGAATTATTAAAGACAACTTATCATAAATGTATGTTTCAACAAAGATGCCAACATTAATTAAATTCCTTCTCTGTTCAAGACTCTACATGAAATACTGGAAACGAGATGAGGGTATAGATGAGTATTTCACTCTATTGAAGAATAGTTTGGGGAGAGGTTTCCTTTTGTAAGCTACAAAGTATGTAATTCTTGGGTCTGCTCATTCAACAAGTATTTAATGGTATCCACTAAGGTGCCATCCAATGCGCTTGATGGCTCCTGTAGTAGACCAGTCTGGGAGGAGGTTCTAGGAGGAACTCTTACAGAGACCAGCTGGACTGGAGCTTCTCATGACACCAAAGACACTTGACTTCAAATTTAGCTTGGTCACTTAACAAGACTGCTGGGAGAAACAATTCACTTCAAAACTTAACCAGTGAAACACATGTACATGGTATCAACTGGTGAGCAATGGGCCAAACCAACTCTTGCCATTGATTCTTGGAGCAGAGGCAAAATGGGCAGGGCATGAACTGATACACTTTAGAGTTGCATAGCTTTGAGTTGAAATTCTGGTTCTGTCACTCTTTTTTTTTTTTTTTTTTCAGAGGCAGGGTCCTACTCTGTCACCCAAGCTGGAGTACAACGGAGTATTCATAGCTCACTGCATCCTTCAACTCTTGGACTCAAATGAGGAGTCCAGGAGTTGGGTAATATACCATTATAACTATCTTTTTGCAAATCCAGAGATGAATAATCCATGTGCACAAGATGAAGAAGAAAGACTAGAAGGAAATCATTTCACATGGTTAAAGAAATGCAGCAATCAAGGTCTATAAAGAGCAAACTTGTCCAACCTGTGGTTGATGGTCCACGGTCCACACGTAGCCCAGGAAGGCTTTGAGTGCAGCCCCGCACAAACTGGTAAACTTTCTTAAAACATTATGAGATTTCTTTTTGCAATTTTTTTAACTCATCAGCTATTGTTAGTGTTAGTGTATTTTATGTGTGGCCCAAGATAATTCTTCTTCTAATGCGGCCCAGGGAACAAAAAGATTGAACACCCCTGACACAGAGTATATGGAGGCACTGAACAAGCCTTATGTATCCCAGATCCAGGGAGGTGGGAATGTAGGAGGTTGAGGTCAGAAAGCCTTCTGGAAGGAGCTCTCATGTGACTTAAGTCTTAAAAGTCAAGTATGCCTTTGCCAGGTTAACAAATGAGAAAGAGATATTCCAGGGAGTAGTAATAGAGCTGACGGAGTGCTGTGCATAGAAAACCACAAGCTTAAAGCCTGATGAGAGAAGTGGCAAGTAATGAGATGGAACAGAACGGCAAGGGTTGGATCATGAAGGATCTAAGGAGCCAGGCCATGGAGTTTGGACTTCATCTCAAAAACAATAGGAAACCACAGAAGGGTTTTAAGCCATGGAGTTAAATTACTTGACCTAAGTGGATTATTATTTATTATCTTAGGATATAATTATATACACAGAGACTCAGGAATGCACAATGTTTTGATTTGAGATAGTTTTATTCTCTAGTCATAATGTGCTTCTAAAAATTGATTGATATTCATGATGGATCCTAAGTTAAATTATTCTGTTACAGGGGAAATTTTTGAAGTTTTAACAATTAAAGCTATTTAATAAACCAAGAGACAGTTGCCAAAAAGCAAAATTGGAGCTAATGGCTAGCCTCTCAGCATCACTCTGGATTTGTTAATACATCTTGAGCACCTACAATGAGCCCT
Organism: Homo sapiens; assembly: GCF_000001405.40. Classification (NCBI taxonomy): domain Eukaryota; kingdom Metazoa; phylum Chordata; class Mammalia; order Primates; family Hominidae; genus Homo; species Homo sapiens. The sequence continues at coordinate 56,337,501 of NC_000001.11, forward strand.
GTACTGGCAGGGGGGCACATAGAATTTTAGGGTACTCTTGCCTTCACCTGGAAAAATACGGGTCCTGAAAGAAGAGGAACCTGGTCTGAAGGGAAGGAGGAGAACTTAATTCTCAGTATCTGCCTTGTCACATATCCATCATGGAAGTCCCTGGAGTCTAGACTCTGACCTTTAAAAAAAAAATCAACTTCACTGAGATATTTATATACAATGAAACACCCATTTGAATAACACAATTTGATGAATTTTGACAAATGTATTAACTCATAAAACCATCACCACAACCAAGGTATAAAATATTTCCATAATCCCAAACAGTTGGCCTGTGCCCTTTCCAAGTTTCCCTTGTAATCCAGGCCCTCAAGATGAGGAACTTTCCTACCCTGTTCCCTGCACGTGCCCCACTCCCACATGCCATGTGACCACCGATGTTCCTTCTGTCCCTATCAATGGAATAATACGGTATGTGTCCTTTGTGTACATTATCTTTTGCTTAGCATGATTTTTAGATTCTTCCATGTTGAGTTGAATACCTCAATAGTCCCTTACTTTTTATTGCTAACTAGTATTTCATTGTATGAATTTACCAAAATTTGTTTATGCATTCATCTGTTGATGGATATTCGGATTGTTTCTAGGTTTGGGGTATTATGAATAGAGACGTTATGAACATTTGTATACAAGTCTTTGAGCTATGATTTCTTTTCTCTTTTTTTTTTTTTTTCCCCGAGATCAAGTTTCACTCTTGTTGCCCGGACTGGAGTGCAATGGTGCAATCTCAGCTCACTGCAATCTCCGCCTCCTGGGTTCAAGTGATTCTCCTGCCTTAGCCTCCCAAGTAGCTGGGATTACAGGCATGCATCAACCTGCCCAGCTAATTTTTTGTATTTAGTAGAGATGAGGTTTTACCATGTTGGTCAGGCTGGTCTCGAACTCTTGACCTCAGGTGATCCACCCACCTCAGCCTCCTGATTTCATTTTTTTTTAGGTAAATACTCAGGAGTGGAACTGCCTAGTTGGCAACATATGTTTAACATTACAAGAAACTGTCAAATTGTTTTTCAACATGGGCGTTCCATTTTACATTCCAGCCACTAATAGACAACAGTTCCAGTGCCCCACTTCCTTACAAACATTAGGCATCATCAATCTTTTGAATTACAATCATTCCAATTGGTGTGTTGTGGTATCTAATTGTTGTTTTACGTTTTCCTAATTACTAATGAGTTTGTCTGTTTTAACAACTACATGAGAAAAAAATTTTTACTGACTGAATAGGTAAGATCCATGACTATAGCTCAACACTCACATGATACTGCTTTACTCATGTTGTGTTTTTGCAAGACACTGTGGTAGAGACTAGAAAACTTGGGAGGACTTGCAAAGAAATCTTGGAATAACACATGAAGGATGATGTGAAAAGTGATTCCGAAGCAGACCACCCTTTCCTGTGCTTATTACTCATTTGTACACCTTGTTTTATGAAAAATCTTCTCTAATCTTTTGCTCACCTTTTTTATTAAATTGGTAATAATATTATTGAATTGCACAAGTTCTTTGTTCTGGTTACAAGGCCTCTGTTAAATATATGTTTTGTAATAATTTTCTCTTAGTCTATGGCTTGCCTTTTCATTTCTTAACAGTGTTTTTGGAGATACTCTTAAGTGTTTTTGAGTGTTTTAGTGAAATTAAATTCTCCTTTTTTATTTTTATTTTTTGAGATGGAGTCTTGCTCTGTCACCCAGGCTGGAGTGCAGTTGTGCAATCATGGCTCACTGTGGCCTTGACCTCCCAAGCTCAAGTGATACTCCCACCTCAGCTTCCTTGGTAGCTGGGATCACAGGTACTTGCCACCATGCCCAACTGATTTTTTAAATTTTTTTGTAGAGACAGGGTCTCCCTATGTTGCCCAGGCTGGTCTGGAACTCCTCATCTCAAGTGATTCTCCTGCCTCAGCCTCCCAAAGTATTGAGATTATAGGCGTGAGTCACTGCACTTGGCCTAATTTCTCCTTTTAAGTGTCATGCTTTTTGTTTCCTGAGAAACCATTGCCAATCCTATTGAAAAAATATTCTCCTTTCTTCTAGAAGTTTTGTAGTTTTAGGTTTTACCTTTAGGTTTTTATCCATTTCAGTTAGTTATTATGTATGGTATAATGAAAAGAGCAAGGTGAATTTTTCCTCATATAGGTAATACATGAGGAAAAATTTTTTCAACACCATTTATTGAAAAAACTATCTTTTCTCCCATTGAATTACCTTAGCACCTTTATAAAAAATCAATTGATTGAAAGGAGAACAGAGACTTCAGCAAGATAGAGAACAGAGACTTCAGCAAGATAGCTAATTAGGGTTACCTGGTGCTCGTCCCCTTCACAAGACCAAAACAAATAAACAACTATATTTCATGCTTTCTTAGTCACCGGAGTGACTGAGAAAGCATGCTGGAGAGCACCAGGGGAAAGTTGATATCACTGTGGAGCACAGGAAACCCAGGACAGCGTCACGGAGAGGGGAGCAAGGCGTTCTGCCTCTGCCCACACTGCCTCCTCCACTGGGATAGGCTCAGGGTTAAGGGGACTTCTTACAGGGAAATGGTAAGCTGGAGATCCCCAGTAGTCTTCATTGTCACTACCAACGCCATCCAACCTTACTACAGGAGAGTCCTCCAGTCCTTGCAGGCACTGAATTCCATCTGGAGAGTAGCCAGGAGTTCAAGCAGCAGCCTTGCATCATAGTAGGAGCCTGCCTTGAGCATCTCCCACCCTGTGAGCTAAGCTGCCACAAACAGCTTGGCACCATCTTGAAACTGGAACCACTACTAGCATCAGTCCTTCCCTGGGGATTAGTAGCAACTGACTGTCTCCATCCCTGAGGCCCCACTGTCATTCCATCACATTCACATGGTTGACTGCTGGCTGCCTAGAGCCTAGGCCAGATATAATGACCAAGACCCTGGTGTCTAAACTGATGCAGCACACCACCACCCCAGGGACAAGGCAGACCTGCACAGCGGAAAAGCCAACACACAGCCACCTAGCATTGTTGCCTGCCCACACCCACACCACAGGCAGGCAGCCCACCCAGTCCATGTGTGCCCATGACTAGCTAGAATGCCAGTCCAGCCATCACCCTCACCCTCGGGAAAGACTGCCACAGGGCCACCTAGCCCTGCAACACCACAATGGCACAACAGCTGGTCAGCAGCAGCCTTGCCTTTCTTGACAGACCACCACTGGGCTATCCAGCATCATGCACCCATGCACACCCACCTGGCCCAACATCCAGCTTAGTGGTAGCCCTGCCTCCCCAGAGAGACAGCACCACAGCTGCCAGGCTGACTGTACCCTTGTGCACCCAAGCCTAGTTTGACAAGAAATTTAAACTCAATAGCAAAAAGACCCAAAAACAACCCAATTAAGAAATAGACAAAAGTCTTCAATAGGTATTTCTCAAAAAAGACATACAAATGGCCAAAAGGTATACAAAATATGCTTATCACTAATAATCAGGAAAATGCAAACCAAAACCACAGTGAGATACCACCTCACTCTAATTAGAATGGCTATTACCAAAAAGACAAAAGAAAACAAGTGTTGGCAAGGATGTGGAGAAAAAGGATACTGTTGGTGGGAGTGTAGGCTAATACAGTCATTACAGAAAACAGAGATAGAGTTACAGGCTAATACAGGCTAATACAGTCATTACAGAAAACAGTATAGAGATTACCTCAAAAATTAAAAATAGAACTACCATATGATCCAGTAATCCCATTGCTGGGTGTATATCCAAAGGAAATCAAATCAGTGTGTCAAGGGTATATATCCAAAGGAAATCAAATCAGTGTGTCAAAGACATACCTGCACTACCATGTCTATAAGCAACACTATTCACAATAGCTAAGATATGGAATCAACCTAAGTGTCTAACAACAAATGAATGGATAAAGAAAATGTGGGCTGGGCATGGTGGCTCACGCCTGTAATCCCACCACTTTGGGAGGCCGAGGTAGGCGGATCACCTGAGGTCAGGAGTTCGAGACCAGCCTCACCCACATGGAGAAACCCTGTCTCTACTAAAAATACAAATTAGCCAGGCTTGGTGGCACATGCCTGTAATCCCAGCTACTTGGGAAGGCTGAGGCAGGAGAATCACTTGAACCTGGGAGATGGAGGTTGCGGTGAGCCGAGATCGCGCCATTGCACTCCAGCCCGGGCAAGAGCAAAACTCTGTCTCAAAAAAAAACAAAAAAGAAAATGTGATATATATACCCAATGGAATACTATTCAGCCATAAAAAATAATAAGATCCAGTCATTTGCAACAACACTTATGAACCTCAAGGACATCATGTTAAGTGAAATGATCTAGACACAGAAAGACAAATACTGCATAATCTCACTCATATGTGGAATGTTAAAAAAAAAAAAAAGTTGATATCATAGGAGCAGAGTAGAACAGTAGTTACCAGAGGATGGGGAGTGGTGAGGGGCGGGGAGGATAGGGAGAGGTTGGTAAGTGGGCACAAAGTTACAATTAGGTAGGATGAATAAATTCTGGTGTTCCATTGCACAGTAGGGTGAATATGGTTAACAGTAAAATATTGTATATTATTAAATAGCTAGAAGAGAGGCTTTTGAATATTCTCACCACAAAGAAATGATAAATGCATGAAGTGATGGATACACTAACCACCCAGATTGGATTATTCTACCATGTAGATATGTATTCCTGGACACAGGAAAACAGTAAAAGAGGAATCCCCAGAACTCTGGGAGAGACCCTAAACCCAAGAGGCCTTTGTTTCCGACATATGGAGCTACCTAAAGACTGCACAGGGACATTGCTTCAGAAAGAGAACCCACACAAAATTCCACAGGTATTCAAGCCTAGGGCAGCCTCAGCCAGGTGCCATTTGGAGAGTCCCCACATACCAATGATCTACAGACATGGCTGCAGCCACTGTGTTTCTCCAAGGAGAGAGAGAAGAGAACAGGCACTTCCACACAATCCTTGGAGGGTCCCTGCCACCCTGCTGTGACCTGCTGTTGAGGATGAGACATTAATGGAACACACTCCCCACAGCTTCTTGTTCACATTGCTTGTCTGTGTGGTGCCCCACCCTCTCCAGTCCCAGGCTCATGGTACTACTTTGAGAACAGCCCTTGGCCTGAGTTTAGGCTGATATGGCTGCAACCACCACCCAGCCAAGGAGGGACAGGGAAGCCAAGTTCTCCTATGCATACATAGGACAATGCCCAACATCCTGCTAGAAGCTGCTGTGAGACTGAGACTTTAACAGATCACACTCCACACAGTTTCTTGCCCATGCTGTTTCCACCTGAGAAGGGTCCCACTCTTTCCAGTCACAAGCCCACATATGGCACTCTTTTGAGAATTTAGAGATATTGTTTGGCCACCTGGCAGCAGCAGCCACAACAGACATTTTAGTCTTGGGCCAGAGATTGAAGAACTTGCTCTGGAATGGTGGAAAGGCCCCCATAGCCAGAATTTAGCAGGGAATGTGGAGAGTGGCCCAGCAGTAGCTGTTGAAATTAAGTCCTCTCCCATCACAGGACTGGAGCAAGAGGAGAGTTGCTGAAGCTGAGTTTTTCCTGGGCAGTAAGACTTGCAGCCAGGGACATCTTTATGACCTGGAACCCATCTGTGGGTGTCATTGCTGGGGGCCTCAGCCTTCTCCCTAGCTCTTTTGAGGGACAGGGCCCCAGCAGCTCTGAGAAGAAGGAGGGGCCCCACTCCACTGGAGATCCAACCCTCAGTGCAGTCTGCCCCTAAGGACAGGGGAACACAGTCTACCAAAGCCCTCCTTAGGTCAAAGAAAAGGTGAGCATGGCATCAGCTACTGAAGGCAGCACCACCAAAGCCCAGGAGCAGATGTGGAGAGGGGTCATATCTCATATCCCAGCCCCCTCCTCAGTACACTGTTGCTGACTTGGCATTGGCTCTTCCTGTCAGGGCCTGGGGAGTGTAGGCTGAAGGAGACTGCTTCTCGGGCTTCTCCAGTGGCTCCACCCCCACTGAAGGCAAACGCATACCTGGGGGAGGGTATGCATTAGAGAAAGCCACTGCAACTTATTTGCAACTAAGGAACCTGTGCAGAGCATTGGTACCTTGAAATCACCCATAAATGAAGCCAATCAATCTTGCAAATATATACCACAGCCATACTGCCATAAATGAAAAAATAAATAAATAAAATAAAATAAAGAAGACCCATCCAAACAATATCAAATTTTTAAAAAGTGTCAGCTTTCTCAAATGAGAAGAAACTAGCACAAGAACTTTAACAATACAAAAAGGCAGAGTGTGTCATTGCCTCCAAAGGATCTCAGTAGCTCCCAAGCAATGGATCCTAACCAGAATAAAACGTCTGGAATGACGGATATAGAATTCAGAATATGGATAATGAAGAAAACAAGATCCAAAAGGAAGCTGAAATCCAACACAAAGAAGCCAAAAAACAGATCCAAGATTTGAAAGATGACATAGCTGTATTAAGAAAGAACCAAACAGAACTTCTGGAATTGAAAAATTTACTACAGAAATTTTTAAATACAGTTGTAAGCCTTAATAACAGACTAAAGCAACCAGAATTTCAGAGCTCAAAGGCCTGTCCTTCAAATCGACCCAATCAGAAATAAACATATAATAATAATTTTTAAAAATGAACAAAGCCTTCAAGAAATATAGGATTATGTTAAGTGACCAAAGCTGTGACTTATTGGCATGCTTGAGAGAGAATAAGAGAAAGTAAGTAACTTGGAAGACATATTCAAAGACATAATTCAGGAAAATTTCTCCAACCTTGCTAAAGAGGTCGACATGAAGATACAAGAAATCTGAAGAACTCCTATGAGATACTATACAGTATGACCATCCCGAGGGCACACAGTTATCAGATTATCCAAGGACAATATGAAAGAAGAAATCTTAAAGGCAGCTAGAAAAAAAGGGTCACATTACCTATAAAAAGAAACCCATCAGACTAACAGCAGACTTCTCACTGGAGACCTTACAAGCCAGAAGGAAGTGAGGGCCCATTTTAGCATTCTTAAAGAAAAGAGATGCCAGCCAAGAATTTCATATCTCACCAAACTAAACTTCATAAACTAAGGAAAAATACTGTTTCTCAGACAAGCAATCACTAAGGGAATTCATCACCATCAGACTGGCCCTAAAAGAGATGCTTATGGGAGTTGTAAACATGGAAACAAAAGAACAATACTTTCTACCATAAAAGCACATGCAAGTGTACAACCCACAGATCCTATAAAGCAACTACAGAATCAAGAATGCAAAGCAACTAGCTAACAACATTACAAAACCTCACATAACAATATTAAACTTGAACATAAGTGGCCTAAATATTCCACTTAAAAGACATAGAGTGGACAATTACCTTAAAAAAAAACAAAAAAAAAAAAACAAGATCCATTCTTCTGTCTTCAAGAGACCCATCTCACACATAGCAACACCTGTGAGCTCAAAGTAAAGGGATGGAGAAAGATCTATCATACAAATGGAAAACAGAAATAGAGTAGAGGTCACTCTTCTTGTATCAGATAAAATGAACTTTAAATGAACAACAGCAAAAAAAGACAAACAATTTTATTTTTATTATTAAATAATCACAAAGGGTTTAATTCAACAAGAAGACTTACCTATCCTAAATATATAAACACACAACATTAAAGCATGCCTATGTATAAAACAATTACTTCTAGACCTAAGAAAAGACTTTGGCAGTCACATAATAATAGTAGGGAGCTTCAACACCCCACTGACAATATTAGATCATCAAGGCAGAAAACTAAAAAAGAAATTCTAGACTTAAATTTGACACTTGACCAATTAGATCTACTAGAATACAGAATACTCCACCCAACAACCACAGAATATACATTCTTCTTATCTACACATAGAACATACTCCAATACTGGCCACATGTTTGGTCATAAAGCAAGTTTCAATAAATTAAAAAAAAAAAAGCAAGCATTTCTTGGACCATGGTGGAGTAAAAATAGAAATCAATACCAAGGGGAACCCTCAAACCCACAAAAATACATGGAAACTAAACAACTTCTCCTGAATGGCTTTTGGCTAAAACAATAAAATTAAAGCAGAAATAAAAAACTTATTTGAAGCAAATGAAAATAGAGACACCATTTATCAAAACTGCTGGCATGTAGAAAAAGCAATGTTAAGAGGAGAGTTTATATTGCTAAACACATACATCAAGAAGATAGAAAGATTTCAAATTAACAACCCAACCTCATACCTAAAGGAACTAGAAAAATAAGAGCAAACTAATCCCAAAGCTAGCAGAAGAAAAGAAATAACTAAAATCAGAGCAGAACTAAATGAAATTGAGACCCTAAATACTATATGAAGAATCAACACAATGAAAAGTTGAATTTTTGAAAGAGACTAGTATGAACATTTCTATGCATACAAAGTAGAAAATCTAGAGGAAATGGGTAAGTTCCTGGAAACACAGGATCTCCCCAGTTTAAAACAGGAAGAAACAGAAATCCTGAACATACCAATAATGAGTAATGAAATTGAATCTTCATCATAATGTAAAAAAAAAAAAAGCTACTGTCCAAAAAAACCCTGGACCAGATGGATTCACAGCTGAATTCTATCAGACATATAAAGAAGAGCTCATATCAATTCTACTGAAACTATTCCAAAAAATCAAGGAGAAAGGGCTCCTCCCTGATTCATTCTACAAAACCAGTATCATCCTGATACCAAAACCTGGCAAAGACACAATAAAAGAAAACTACAGGCCAATATCCCTCATGAAGATAGATGCAAAAATCCTCAACAAAATACTGGCAAATCAAATCCAGAAGCACATAAAAAAGTTGATTCACCATAATCAAGGGGGCTTTATTTCTGGGATGCAAGGGTGGTTCAACATATACAAATCAATACATGTGATTTACCACTTAAAAATAATTAAAAACAAAAGCGATATATATGATAATCTCCATTGATACAGAAGAAAAGCATTTGATAAAATCCAATATCCCTTTATGATTTAAAAAAAACCCTCAGTAAACTAGGCATCAAAGGAATATATGTCAAAATAATGAAAGCCATCTATGACAAACCCACAGCCAACATCATACCAAATTGGCAAAAGTTGGACACATTCCCCTTAAGAATTGGAGCAAGACAAGGATGTCTAGTCTCAGCACTCCTATTCAACATAGTACTGGAAGTCCTAGCTAGAGGAATCAGGCAAGAGAAATAAATAAAAGACATCCAAATAGGAAAAGAGGAGGTCAAATTATCCCTCTTCACTGATGATATGATTATATACCTAGAAAACTCTAAAGATTCTGCCAAGACTCCTACACCTGATAAACAACTTCACCAAATACTTGGGATACAAAATTAATATGCAAAAATTGGTAGCATTTCTATACACCAATAACATTCAAGCTGAGAGTCAAATCAAAACCACAATGCCATTTGCAATAGTCACACAAAGATAAAATAAAATAGTTAGTAATACATGTAACCAAGGAGGTGAAAGATCTCTAAAAGAGGAACTAAAAAACACTACTGAAAGAAATCATAGATGACACAAACAAATAAAAAAGCATTCCATGCTCAGGGATTGGAGGAATTAATACCATTAAGATGTTTATACTGCCCAAAGCAGTCTATAGATTTAATGCTATTTTATAAAATTTTCATCATTTTTCACAGAACTAGAAGGAAACTATTCTAAAATTTATATGGAATCAAAAAAGAGCCTGAATAGCTAAATCAATCCTAAGCAAAAATAATAAAGCCAGAAGCATCACATTATCTGACTCAAACTATACTACAAGACTACAGTAACCAAAACAGCATGGTAGTGGTTAAAAAAAAAAAAAAAGAAAGAAAGAAAGAAAAAAAAAAGACACATAGACCAATGGAACAGCATAGACTCCTGAAATAAAGCTGCACACTTACAACCAACTGATCGCCAACAAAGTCAACAAAAATAAACAGTAGGGAAAGGATATCCTATTAAATAAATAGTGCTGGGAAAAATGGCTAACCATATGCAGAAGAATGAAACTGGACCCCCACCCCCATCCCACCTCTTACCACATACAAAAATTAACTCAAGCTGGATTAAAGGCTTAAATGTAAGACTTCAAATTATAAAAATCCTAGAAGAAAACATAGGAAATACTCTTCTAGAGATTGGCCTAGGCCAAGAAATTTATGACCAAGTCCTCAAAATCAATTGCAACAAAAAAAAAATCACAATTGGGATCTAATTAAATGAGAGAGCTTCTGCACAGCCAAAGAAACTATCAACAGAGTAAACAGACAGCCTACAGAATGAAAGAAAATATTCGCAAACTGTGCATCTGACGAAGGTCTAGTATCCAGAATCTATAGGGAACTTAAACAAATCAACAAGAAAAAAACAAATAACACCATTAAAAGGTGGGCAAAGTGAACAGACACTTCTCAAAAGAAGATATACAAGTGGACAGAAAACACATGAAAAAATGTTCAACATAACTGATCATCAGAAAGATGCAAATTAAAACCACAATGAGATACCATCTCACACCAGACAGAATGGCTATTATTAAAAAGCCAAAAAGTAACATATGTTGGTGAGGTTGAAGAGGAAAGGAAAAGTTATACACTGTTGATGGGAATGCAAATTAGTTCAGCTGCTATGGAGGGCAGTTTGGAGATTTTTCAAAGAACTAAAAATAGAACTACTACCGGCCGGGCGTGGTGGTTCATGCCTGTAATCCTAGCACTTTGGGAGGCCAAGGTGGGAGGATCATGAGGTCAGGAGATTGAGATCATCCTGGCTAACATGGTGAAACTCTGTCTGTACTAAAAATACAAAAAATTAGCTGGGCATGGTGGTGGGTACCTGGAGTCCCAGCTACTAGGGAGGCTGAGGCAGGAGAATGGCATGAACCCGGGAGGCGGAGCTTGCAGTGAGCTGAGACTGCACCACTGCACTCCAGCCTGGGCGACAGAGCGAGACTCCATCTTGGAAAAAAAAAAAAAAAAAAAAAAAAAAAAAAAAAATATATATATATATATATATATATATATATATATATATATATATATATAACTACCATTCACCCCAGCAATCCCATTATTGGGTATATACACAAATGAAATAAATTGTCTACCAAAAAGGCACCTGCATTCATATGTTTATTACAGACAACACTATTCATAATAGCAAAGACATGAAATCAACCCAGGTATTCATCAATAGAGATTTGAATTTTTTAAAATGTGGTATATATACACTGTGAAATATTATGCAGCCATAAAAAAGAATAAAATCATGTCTTTTGCAGCAATGTGAATGGAGCTGGAGGCCATTATTCTAAGCATATTAACGAAGAAACAGAAAACTAAATACCACATGTTCTCACTTACAAGTAGGAGCTAAACATTGGGTATACACGGACACAAATATGGGAACAATAACTATCGGGTATTCTGAAAGGAGGGAGAAAAGGAGGAAGGCAAGGGTTGAAAAACTACCTATCAGGTACCATGTTTACTACTAACCTCAGCATCACACAATATGCCCATGTACAAACCTGCATATGTACCCCATGAATCTAGAAAAAATATATATATAATTGAGTAACATGTTCCAGCTTTGCTCACCTTTTTTAAAAAATATGAATCTATTCTAAGTCCTTTGCATTTCTATAGGTACTTTAAAATCAGCTTGTCAATCTTGATAAAAATCCTGCTAGCGTGATTGATTGTGCTAAATCCATAGATCAATCTGGGAAAAAACATATATCTTAACAATATTGAGTTTTCCTTTCCATAAACTTGACGTCCCTATTTATTTAGGTCTTCTTTAATTTTTCTCAGTAATATATTTTTTATTGTCCAGGTCTTATGCATATTTTGCTAAATTTCTCCATAAGTATTTCATCTTTTCTTAATGCAGTTGTGAATGGACTTCCTTTTTAATAATCTGTTTCCAGTAATTCATTGCTAGTATATAGAAATACATAACTTTTTTATATTGATCTTTTTTTCTTGATACATTTACCTTTTGTTCTGTAAATTATTTATGATTTTCTACATAGACAATCATATACTGTATGAATAAAGACACTTTACTTTTTACTATACAATCTGTATGCCTCTTATTTCTTTTCTTTTCCTTATGTTATTGCACTGTACAGGAACTCCAATCCGAGGCTGAATAGAAGTAATAAGACTGGGTATTCACTGTTCATTCCCAATCTTGGTTGGAAAGTGTTGTCTTACACTTTTACATAGCTGTAAATTTTTCATATATTCCCTGTCTTAGCCAGTTCAAGCTGCTACAACAAAGTGCCGTAGACTGAGTGGCTCATAAAGAAAAGAAACTTAATTATCTCGCTTCTGAAGGCTAAAAATCTGAGGTCAGAGTGCCAGCCCAGTAGGTTCTGTAAAGGCTCTCTTTCAAGTTACAGACTGCTGACTTTCCATTGTATACAAATATGATAAAAAGAGATGGAGCTAGCTCTTCAGGCTCTTCTTATAAGGGCACGAATCATGAGGGTCCACTGTCCTGATCTAATAATTTCCTAGAGGCCCCACCTCCAAATACCATTACACTGAGGATTAGATTTCAACACATGAATTTGGGGCAGACACAAACATGTAGTCCATAACATGCCTCTTTTCTCCATGAATAATATTGGTTTTGGAGTCTTTTTCATGTTATATTAAATAGCCACTCCAGCTTTCTTATGCTTATGTTTGTATATCTTCATCTAATCTTTAAATATCTGTGTCCTGATATTTAAGTGGATTTCTGTGAACAGCATATAGTTGTGTCTTGCTTTTTTATCCGGTATGGCAATCCTTGCCTCTTAACTGTAGCATTTATACTATTTACATATATTGATATTGTTGGGTTTAAATCTACCATCTTGCTATTTGTTTTCTACTTTTCTTCTCTGTTTTTGTGTCTATTTTTCCCTATTTTCCTGGTTTCCTTGAATAATTTGGGGATTTTTATTCTATTTTATATTCAATATTAGCTTCTTAGCTAAACCTCTTTAACTTTCAATATTTTAACTAGGGTTTCCAATATGCTTCTTGAACATAGTGTAGTCTACATACAAGTAATATACCACCTAGTATATAATGTCAAGACCATTTAAACCTTTAGTTTCATCCCCCACCCTTAGCCCTTTATGGTACTATTGTCATGCATGTTGTTTTTCATATTCAATTTCCCTATTTTTAAAATAAGAAAAAATGTATGTAATATATATCTATATATTTACCATTTCTGGTATCCTTCATTTCATTGTGTAGATCTATGTTACCCATCACCTGATACTTTTTTCCCTGAAGAACTTTCTTGGACTTTTTTGGTGCAGGTTTACTGCTAATAAATTCTCTCAGCTTTTGGTTTTTGAAAACTTTTAAAATTTTACCTTAATTTTTGAAAGATATTTTCCGGGAGGGGGCATGGTGGGTCAAGCCTTTAATCCCAGCACTTTGGAGAGGCAGAGACAAGCAGATCACCTGCGGTCAGGAGTTCGAGACCAGCCTGACTAACCTGGTGAAACCCTGTCCCTACTAGAGTACAAAAATTAGCCGGGCATGGTGGCATATGCCTGTAATACAAGCTACTCGAGAGGCTGAAGCAGGAGAATCACTAGAACCCAGGAGACAGAGGTTACAGTGAGCCGAGACTGTGCCACAGCACTCCAGCCTGGGTGACAGAGTGAGACTCTTTCAAAAAAAAACAAAAGAAGTATATTTTCACTTTCAACATAGAATTCTAGGTTTACTACTTTTTCTCTTTCAGCACTTAAAAAATGTTGTTTAACACTGAAAAATACATAGCACTATATTTTGGTGTCGAAAAGAAGTATGCCGCCATTCTTATCTTTGTTCCTATATACATAGAATCCTTTTCATGTCAGTGCTTTGAAGATTTTTTTAACCTCTGGTTTTAAGCAATTTGATTATTATACACCTTGGTGTGATTGTGTGTGTGAGTATGTGTGTGTGTGTGCTCGTGCGCTGGGGTTCTTTGATCTTCTTGAATTTAAACATTTAGAGTTGTCATCAAATTTGGAAAATGTTGACCATTATTCTTCACGTTTTTTGTCCCTCCCCCCACCTTTTATTTTCCAGTACTACAATTACACATTTATTAGCCTACTTAATAATATTCCACAATTTATTAACACTCTGGTTTTTGTTCCTCAGAGAATTTTTCTCTCTGTGCTTCAACTTAGATTCTATTGCTATGTCTTCAAGTTCGTTTCAAGTTGACATCTTTTTTGTCTAATATTTAATCTGTTATTAATCATGTTCACTGAAATTAACATTTTAGATATTGGGATTTTTTTTCTAACTTTTAGAAATTTCATTTGGGTCTATTTTATATCTTCTCTTTCTCTCCTTAACTCCATGTTTGTCTTTTAATACCTGTACATAGATATAATTGCTTTTTTTTTCTCGAGACCAAGTCTCATTTTGTCACCCAGGCTGGAGTGCAGTGGTACGATCTTGGCTCACTGAAACTCTGCCTCCCAGGTTCAAGCAATTCTCATGCCTCAGCCTCCCAAGTAGCTGGGAACGCAGGTGACCGCCACCACACCCGGCTAATTTTTTGTATTTTCAGTAGAAATGGGAGTTTTGCCATGTTGGCCAAGCTGGTCTTGAACTCCTGACCTCAGGTGATCCGCCGGCCTCAGCCTCCCAAAGTGCTGAGATTACAGGCATGAGCCACCGTGCCTGGCCCTTATAATAGCTATTTTAATGTCCTTCTCTAATAGCTCATAATTGTCTCTGTTATTTCTGGGTCTGTTTCTACTAATGGATTAGTGTTCATTTGTTTGATTTTTTTTTCTACCAGCTGAAAGTCACATTTTCTTCTGTCTTGTTATGTCTTGTAAATATTTTACTAGATTCTAGACATTTTGACTATTATGTCAATGAGGTTCTGGAGTTTTCTGTTTTCCTTGAAAGAGTGTTGTGTTTTATTTTGACGAGTAGTTAAATTATTTGTGGATCAGTTTGATTCCTTAGAGACCTGTTTGTAAGATTTTCTGGTGCAGTTCCAGAACAGGCTTTATTACTGAGGTTGTTCAGCCTATGACTATGGTATGATTTCTCTGGGGTTTTCACTGAATGTCCCATATGATCACCAAGGCTTGCAATTTGACTGGTGGAAGCTTGAATGTTCCTCTGCCTTCTGTGACCTCTGGGAATTGTTCTGATTACAACTCCTGGTCATTCTTTGCCTGGCTTTGTGTCACCTCGCTCTATACAAATGTGACTTTTTACTCAGCAAAGACTTAAGGGGGACCCTATGCAGATTTCTGGGGATCTTTCTTTACCTAGATCCATTCTTTCTATAGCTCTGCCTTAGAAACTTTGAATATCTCAATTTCCTCATCTCTTATATGGTCCTCAAGTGGGGTCTCCAGGCTCCTTTCAGGTTCTCCCTAAGTTCACAGTTTAGAAGTTACCTGCAGGCAGAAAGCTGGAGCCGCTTTAGGGCTCACCTTATTTGTTAACTTCTTTTTAAGGATCATAGCCCTGCACTACCTATTGTCCAATGTTGGAAATCAATTCCTTCACCTAACTGATCCTGTTGTTTATTGTTTATGAGCAGGTTAAGTTCATGTCTTGTTACCTCATCAGGGTTGAAAGTGAAAACACTCTATCTACCCTGGTCTTTTACTCTCTGGCCCTCTTGCTCACATATTCCCGTCCCTCGCTTTCCTGACTCAAATCAGGTCCCTGATTCTGCAAACCACTTAAAAGTTTCCTTCCTACCCAAATTTCTAGTATCGTCAATGTAAGATGACCTTTGCTTAGGGCTATTTTTCTCCTTTGAGGAATATTAGGGCTATTTTTCTCCTTCGAGGAATATTCTATGTGATTTGTTTTTACTTTCTCACTTCCAATTCATGCTTTGATCTAATACAATTTGAATTTCATTAACACCACTCCATGATCACTGCTGACCCTGTGGACAGAAACCAATAACCTCCTCACTTTCAAATCCAGTGGAAGCATTTCTGCTCCATTTTATTTTGGTTTCTCTGCAACATTTGATGCTTCTGACTCCTTCCTCCTTCTCAAAATCCTCATTCCCTTGCACATAACATTGTGGTTAAGAGTACAGACTTTTAGTCAGAGACATTGTTCCAATCCAAGTTTGCCACTTATACAGATATAAGACCTTGGACTAATTACTTTCTTGTTTCTTATTTTCCTTGTATGTTAAGAGAACATAATAATATCTATGTCTTAGTATTGTCGAAAGATTAAGTGGAATATATTTATAATGTGCTTAGCCAAGTGTCTAGCACATAGAAGATGCTTCATCAATGATAGCCATGATGATTACCTTTCTACTAATTTCCAAGACATTCTTCCATCCTGGCTGTCTCTCTGGCCATTGGGTGAGTCCCCTTTAAAGGTTCCTTGTCCTCTGGTTACCATTTAAAATGTATTATGCCTGAGAGTTTAATCCTCCTTTATTTTGTTTTTCATCTGTTTGTTTTTACATTTTAGATTGTTACTTTAAAAAATAAAATAGTAACAAGTATTAAGTAGAAGCAAAATAACATTTATGAAATACACGTAGGATATAAAAGAAACATGTACAACTTGCACCCCTGTTCCTACCACCCTTTTGAAGAAATAGAATATTACATTCATCTTTGAAACCTCCTGTGTACTGCTGGGATCCTATCCCCAACCCTTTCCCAACAGAGACAACTGCTATCCTGATTTTTGTGCTTATCTGTTCCTCACTTATAAGTTTTACCACGTGTTTAGTTTTGCAAGCTTTTGAACTTTATATGAAAAGAATCATCATGGATATTCTCTTCTGCAACTTTATTTTTCCACTTAACATTATGTTCGTAAGGTTCATACATGTTGTTTCTGCAGCTCTGCCTTACAATTTTTTGTTGCTGGATTATTCCATTGTATGAATACTCCACATTTCTTTAGCTTTTCTATTGTTGATGAATATTTGGGTTGTTTCCAATTTTTTTTGTTGCTATAAACGTCTCTTCTATATCTTCTTTGAAATTTTCTAGGCTATATATCCAGAACTGGTATTGCTGGGTGAGAGCGTTTGCACATCTTTAATAGTTAATTGAAGATTGTTTTTCAAAATAGTTGTATCAATTTGTACTTCATCATCATTGCATAAATATTCCAATTATTGACATCCTTACCAGTACATGACACTGTCATACTTTTCTTATTGATTTTTTACTCTATCCACTCTCCCTTAGCTCCGTCTACCGCTTCTGAGCTGATGACCACCAAATGTTTATCTCAAGCTTATATCTTTCACCTGAGCTCCATATCCATGCATTCAACTGCCTATTTGATATCTGCTCCTGTTTGTCTTCAGGCAGAGCAAATGTAACATGTCTCAAACGAAGCATATCTTTTTCGGTGGATTGTACCATCTTTACCCCATCATCAAAATGAGGAATCAAGACATCATCCTGGACTGGCTTGGGCAATGAAACCTGTGTTAATAGGATAGATGTCATTACCAAGCAGAAGTTGTAAGACTCAGTGTGTGCTTCACCATGGCCTATACCCCCAGCCACAATGAATAGGGCTTTACATCTGGTGGAGCCTCTGTCAGCCTCAACTCCTGAGTGAAAACAACATGGAGCAGAACCCTGCTTGCACATAAGCAACATGTGGCATAAATAAAATAAAATGTTTGCTGTTTCAAGTCACTGGAAGTTTGAAGTTATTTGTAACTACAACATAACATAGACTATTCTAACAAATATACCCTTATTTCCATCTTCGTGGCTGCTGAACACATACGAGCAGCAGGGCAAAAGAATTTTCCAGTTCCCTTGGAGTCTACTGCTACTAGATTTGATTTTTTTTTTTTTTGCAACTTCCTGAATATACTCTTATGTTGGCATACAAATAATAGCCTTTGAATGCCCAACTTCAGAGTGTGCTGAGTTCTTTCCAAGTGGCATTAGTTGAGGTTTTGGCACTTTCTTTCAGAACACAGCTATCCTCTATCTGCATAAAAGTCAGCTGTTATCTTCTTTCCAAAGCCATCAAATCCCAAAATAGCATGAGTTGGAAGTAGGTTAATATCTTCCTGGCAAAGTCTAGTGTCAGGTTTCAAGGGCACCATTTAACATTCAGCTGACTGGGGGACATAACCTAGACTGTGTCTATAATTCTCAAAGACCTACAGAATTTTGCTTTTAAGGAACTAATCGAATTGAAGCCATATTATGACATTAACCAAGTAAAAGGAAATGAACATTGAGCACCTTCAAGTGCCAAGCATTTTGTGTATACCGTCTTGTTTAATCTTCAAAACCACCCTGTGTGTTAGATATTATTAGTCTAGCTGATAAGTCATTCCAAGAAAATAGATTCAAAGTGAGTGAGTGACTGGCCAAGGTCACAGTAAAGATTCTGGATATAAAGATATAAAGGTCAGAACGTAGGGCTTCTTGTAAGGTGTTCTTTTGAATTCAGCATGGACTCTTCATTGTGTCACTTCATTTAGTGTAAGATTTAAAAATAACACAAATGCGGCCAGATGAGTTGCCTGAGCCTTGACTCACCCGTCTAACAAACATTGCCTTTTACTTAGTCTGTGTGGATAGCAGTGCTAGAGAGAGAAAACACAGAAAAAGAAAAGATAGAATAAATAGAGGAACAAATCCCTGCCCTCAGGGGCTCATGATATACAGTGGTATACAAGGTTACACAGGCAGGCTAATTACAATGTGATGTGATAAATGCATCCATCCATTCATTTCCCAAACATGTACCAAGGGCTGAGGATGTGGAGACAGAATCACAGCGTCTGCCTTCAAGGAGCGCAGAGCTCCATGTCACAGGTGGAACAAGGGAAGTCTATTGAGTGGAAACATCAAGGAAAGCATGGCTGCTTCTCTCAGAGGAGTCAGCAAAAACTTCATACCTGGGATAATTCTGGAGATGGGTTTTGAAAGATAAGTTGATGACAACCAGAAAGAGAGCATTTCAGGACACTAGAGTGGCATAAGCAAAGGCCCGGAGGACGGGGTTGTGAATTCTGTCCTGGAGAGCAGGAAAAGCTTCCCAGAGGAAACTCCGGTGCACTGAGACTTGGAGGATGACTAGGAACAGATCTAGCTGACAAAGTGCAGAAAGGCACCATGAGAGCAGACAGAACAGCAGATGCCGAAGCATGCAGTCTTCTTCAGGGAAAGCGCAAGCAGTTGAACCTGCCTGTGGGGCAAGGTTCACGTGGGGAAGTGGTAGAAAAGGAAACAGGAGAGCAATGGCCAGAGGTGCACTACGAAGAATGTTGAATGGTTTGTAAGGAAAACTGATACACCTTGTGAACTCTAAATATCTGAAACAGGTCTCAGTCAATTTAGAAAGTTTATTTTGCCATTGTTAAGGACGAGCCCGTGACACAGCCTCAGAAGGTCCTGACAACACGTGCTCAAGGTGGTCGGGGTATAGCTTGCTTTTATACATTTTAGGGAGGCATAATACATCAATCAATACATGTAAGATTTATGTTGGTTCAATCCGGAAGTCAGGGGACAACTCGAGATAGCAATGATTACTTTAAATGATTGTCTTAGTCAGCTTGGGCTGCTATAACAAATACCATAGACTTCAAACCACGGAAATTTAATTCCCACAGTTCTGAGCCTGGAAGTTTGAGAGGGAGTGCCTACATGGTTGGGTTCTGGTGCGGGACTTCTTGCTTTATAGACAGCCACCCTCTCACTGTGTCCTCACATGGTGAGGAGTCAGAGACAAAGACAGAGAGAGTGAGAGAGAGAGTGAGTGCAAGCTCTGTGGCGTCTTTTCTTACAAGGACACTAATCCCATCACAGGGGATCCACCCTCTTGGCCTCATCCTACACACCTCCCATGGGCTCCACCTCCAAATACCATCTTATTAGGGATTATGGCTTCAATATAAATTATGGGGAGACACAAATATTTAGTGCATAGAAATTATCATTTAAAAAAGGCATTGTAAGAAGGAAACAACATGGCCACATTTGCAGTTTTAAAAAATCACCCTGGCAAATGTGTGGGATATCATGAGCAAAGCCCCCTCTTCCACACTGGCAGTCACTATTCATGCTGGCAGATTTGATCCAGCTTCTCCTTTGAGCTTCCTCAGCACCTCTGCTTCCCTCTCTCATCACACTTAGAACATGTTTGGTGATTACATGCTTGTATGCTGGTGTCTCACAAGAGTGAGTTTCCTGAGGACAGAGATTGTATTGATCTCTGTGTCCTCAGAATTGTCTGGTAGAAAGTGTGTATTAAAAAATATTTAAATGAATGTGAATCTATTACACGACCACACATCATAGCAGCTGGTCTCCACTTCACTTGGGAGAGATTTTCTCTTTTCATATTCCACATTCAAGTGCCTTATCACTGAAGCCTGACCTGGTCCCAGGCCTATGATGTCATGTTTCAAAAGTTCCTCCTTGGACCCTGGGTGGTATGCATGGTGTCCATGTCCCCCTCACTTCCCAGAACTATTCACATCCAGTTTCCAGTTTCTTTTTACTTGCCTTGAAATTGACGACAAATGAAATTTGCAAGCCCATCTAGGAAATGACCTCAGCACCCAAGTCATTTCCTGGGGCCGTTAATATTCTTAAATGTATGAAGAAGTTGAGGTGTTTTTTTATAAATTCCCAGGACCACTGGTAAACCATTTTCACCCCTATAAATGGATAAAAGATGATGTCACAGCACAGGAGAAGGTCTTGTTGCTTTAGCCCTCCCTTCTTGTTTAATGACTGCCTCAAATTTCTCTGACTTTGGCTCCCTTCTGGAGGCTGACATGCCAGATCACTGGGGCTTGTCTGAGACCTTTTGCCACTTGAGACGATGCATGTTCAGAGAGCTCATGGAAGGAGGGATTGATTTTTCAACATCATAGCATTAGGCTGCACATCCTCTGACACATCCCAGATGGATCCCTTAGCCATTCATTAGTTCAAGCAATATTGATAGAGTTCTTACAGTGGACAAGCCTGTGCTGGATTCTGCAGTCACAGAGGTGAGAGAGGAGGCAGAGTATTTCACTGGTTCCAAGTTAAAACAACCATGACTAAGACCTGCTTTATTCATATCAAAGAATTTTCAGGGTAGGTAAAGAATATGTATAACCACGTGGCTATGATACAATTAATATTGAGGGTAGCAAGAGCTTTAAGAAAAACAAAATATATAAACACACATACTTTATATTTATCATATATAAGCATATATTATATATATATATCTCATGTATAGTTATATAGGTATTTATAACTGTGTATGCCTATTCTATATATTTCCTATATATTATATATAAATGTATATCTTATTTATTCACTATAGTGCTTCCTATAAGCCAGATCCTATTTTGAATGTTTTTACAAATTAATTCATTTTTAAATTCTCACAATATTGCCATGAAATAGGTACTATTATCATCATCTCCATTTTATACATAAGAAACTTGAAGCTTAGATATTTTAAGTAATGTACTCATGATCAATTAAGCTGCTGAGTAAAGATTTGAATCAGGTAGAATATCTCCCATGGCTATGTTATTAATCTCTGTGCTATAAACTGCACAGGGGATTATGAGGGGAGGCTGCACTTGTGTGCAGGCATTAAGGCGTGGGCAGAAATAGCTTGAACAGATCCTTTGAGTTGGGGCCTTGGCAGACTATTCTCAATGACTGGCAAGTAAAATAGCATGGTTTGATCATGATGTAGTTTGGATGTGTGTCCCTGCCCAAATCACATAATGAAATGTAATCCCCAGTGTTGGGGGTGGGGCCTGCTGAGACGTAGATTTCTTATGAGTGGTAGAGCACCATCCTCCTTGATACTGTCTTCACAATAATGAGGGAGTTCATGTGAGATCTGTGTGGCACCTCCCCTGTCTCTCTCTCCTCCTGCTCCGACCATGTGATATGCCTGCTGCCACTTTGCCTTCTGCCATAAGTAAAGTCTCCCTGAGGCCTCCACAGAAGCAGATGCTACCATGCTTCCTGTATAGCCTATACAGAGTCATGAGCCAATTAAACCTCTTTTCCCATAAATTACTCAGGCTCAGGTATTTTTATTTATTTACTTATTTTTGAGACAGAGTCTCACTCTGTCACCCAGGCTGGAGTGCAGTGGCACAATCTCGGATCACTGCAACCTCCACCTCCCGAGTTCAAGTGATTCTCCTGTCTCAGCCTCCCGAGAGCCTAGGACTACAGGTGCGTGCCACCACACCCAGCTAATTTTTTGTATTTTTAGTAGAGACGGGGTTTCACCATGTTAGCCAGGATGGTTTTGATCTCCTGACCTCGTGATCCGCCTGCCTCGGCCTCCCAAAGTGCTGGGATTACAGGCGTGAGCCACTGCACCCGGCCAGGCTCAGGTATTTCTTTATAGCAATGTGAGAATGACCTAATACTGGGCATAAGAAGATGATGCCTGTCTTCAGCTCTGTGAAGGGGACATATGGAAGAGGGGTCACATTCTCAAAGCCATCATGAAGGCCAGTGGGTAGACAGTGCAGGCACATTAGAGGCTGGCTCACTGGTTGTCTATCAGTGAGGCCCGCACAGGAGTGAAATCATCTGCCTCTTTTTCACCCAGCTTGGCTGTTTAAATGGTCTAGCCTGCATGTTTATCTTGGTGGTTAAGGACGTGTCTCTGGGATTCCATTAGGTTGACTTGTTTAACTCAATCGTACTAGAACTTGGGTACCATCCTCCTGTGCCTGAAGAGACCAGCAGTGGCCACAGCTGACAATAAAGACACTAAGTACCTGTTTCAGTTGTCTACTTCTGTGAAATAAACTACCCAAAATGTGATAGTGTAAAACAGCAACCATCTTATTGTGCTCATAGACCCTAGGTCAGGAATTGGGAAAGGGCATAGCAGGTACAGTTTGTCTCTGTTCCAGTGTCTCAGGCCTCAGCTAGGAGACTCAGGCTGGGGTAACTTGATGGTAGGAGCAGGAATCCTATGAAGGCTGCTTTACTCACACATCTGGAGTTGATGCTACCTGTTGGTGAGAACCTCAGCTAAGGCTGTCAATTAGAACACCTACGAAAAGCCACTCCATGTGGCTGCCTGTACTTCCTCACAGCATGGCAGCTGGGTCCCAAGAGTTACCATCCCAACAGATGCAGATGGAAGCTGTATTGCCTTTTATGACCTGCTCTCTAAAGTCCCATAGAATTACTTCTACTATGGTCACAAGATTCAAGACAAGGAAAGATTCAAGAGAAGGAAACTAGATTCAAGAGAAGGAAACTAGACTCCCCACAAATGAAATTGCCAACAGAAGGAAACCAGACTCCCACAAATGAAATTGCCAAGGCCATTTTGTAGAAAGGAAATGTGGGATAGGAGATATTACTATGGACATATTTGGAAAATACAGTCTCCCACATTCAGAATTCATAACAGTTGAGGCCAGCAAGCTCCACTGCAATGGAGCTTGCTAAGAAATGCCAGAGGCCAGGTGTGGTGGCTCATGCCTATAATCCCAGCACTTTGGGAGGCCAAGACAGGTGGATCACCTGAGGTCAGGAGTTCAATACCAGCCTGGCCAACATGGTAAAACCCCATTATCTACTAAAAATATGAAAAATTAGCTGGGTGTGGTGGTATGCATCTGTAATCCCAGCTACTTGGGAGGCTAAGGCAGGAGAATTGCTTGAACCCAGGAGGCAGAGGTTGCAGTGAGCCAAGATCATGCCACTGCATTCCAGCCTGGGTGACAGAGCGAGACTCCGTTTCAAAAAAAAAAAAAAAAAACTATGATACACAGAATACTGTGCATGATTGCATGATTTTTTCAAAAATCTAGAAAAGGAAAATACTACTTCTTAAATTATCTCTCTGGAGAATTTCAGGTGGGTGGTTCAATGTATTTTACTATGAATTCCCTCATATGGAATTATTTTATCTTAATAAGCATAGCTAAAAATATATAACGAGAATTTACACAATATAACATATTTTTTATTTTATTTATATACTTATTGTCATAATTGTTTTACATTTAATATATTTATATAATATACAAATGATTTCAATATTTATAATATTTATATTTACATTTTTAGAAATAAATTGTATATGAATACCCATATTTATAACAGGTATATAAAATATAAATATGTAATAAAATATAATAAAAGCTAAAAATGTGTGCTCATTCCTTTAAGTATTTGGTTTTTCTTAAAGACTTCACTTTTTTTTTTTTTTTTTTTTGAGACAGGGTCTCACTCTGTCACCCAGGCTGGAGTGCAGTGGCACAATCTCAGCTCACTGCAACCTCTGCCTCCTGGGTTCAAGCAATTCTCCTGCCTCAGCCTCCCACGTAGCTGGGATTACAGGCATGCATCATCATGCCCGGCCAAGAGTTCACTTTTAATGAAAAATACTGTAATTTATATCACAGTGATACAGAAGTCTATATTAAAGAAATTATAAATAGCAAAAACACTAAAAATGGCTCACTTGAATTAAATAAAACCCATCAGTTTGAAAAACGTCAAACACAAATAAAATAAAAAGTCATAGAGCTACAATAGAAATTTATCTTCATGCACTTCGTTCACACATTTCTTATTCTCTGAAGAGAGGATTCAACAAATATGGAGACTCCCTGAAGTACATGTACTCTTTTATCCAAGATTCTTATAAATGATCATCTCAAAGAAGAGGGGGCTCTTGCATGAAATACACTCCCTGAGTCTTGTCTTTCCATCTGGCCTCCACCTCCCTAATACACACACACACACACACACAGAGGCAAACACATGCACGCACACACAAGTACACACATGCATTGTCCACTAATGACGGAGCAGCACTCATTAGTCACCTGCAGGTGCACTGACTTAGGCACATCAGGTTTTACCCAGCATTTTTCACAGGAGTAAAATTATATTCACCCACACACCAGAAAGGAGGTCTGCTAGGAATCTTTTAAAAACCGGGTGCTTAATTTATATGAGACGGTGTCTAGACATTTATTTTCTGGAAATATTTAACTTGGATAAGACACGTGGCCCCCAAGATGAATGCAGGATTGAAATATTTCACTTGAAAATCTGTGCAAGGAAACGTCTGGTTGAGTGCAATGAGGTTAAACATAAAAATATTTTCCTAGGATGGAAAGGTCATCCTGTTTGCTATGTGCTAAAAGGACATGGCATTGGAATACTCCTAGTTTCCAAAGCAATAATTACTTTTGCTATACCTATATTTCTGTAATTATATATTCATTTACATAAGTCTATATGTGAATACACAACTTAGTTATTGGGGGAGAAATACTAGAGATAGAAATTCCAGAGATTATATACAATGGGGGCTTTATTTGACTTTGAATTTGAAATTTTTGCTTTAATATCCTAGGCTATAAGGGGACAAACACATTTTTCTGTAAAGGACGAAGTAACAAATACTTTGGGTTTTGCAGGCACTACAGTGTGTCACAACTACTCAGCTCTGCCATTGTTCTATAGAAGCTGCCAAAGATAATACGTAAAGATAATACATACACAAGTGGGTATGGCTATGTCTCAATAAACTTTGTTCACAAAAACAGGCATTTGCCACCCTCTGTCTTAGATCAGCAGCTTTAGAATCATTTTAACTGTGACTCATAAGAAATAAATTTTATACCATCACCCAGAATAGACATCTATATGTGTCTGTCTGTGCACTCACAAAACAATACCTACCTTTATAATGAGCATGGGTGCGGTTATTTTCTACTCTATCCAGTTTGATTATAAATAATTTTTTAAATGCTGACAGCCACCATCTCAACTGATTTCAGGACCCACTAATGGGTCATAACCCCCAGTGTGCAGAAGACTATACTGGGCCAACTCTATGCTTGTGTTTAAAGTGAATAGCGTGCAAACAGCTCGAGGCAGACAAAGAATCACTGTCCCTCTGTTAATGAATGGGAATGCTTGCCCTTAGTCTGAAGCTTCTGCGCCTGCTTGGGTTTTCACATCTCTGGAATCTGATAAAGTTGTGACCCAATAACTAGAGAGAGCATGCATTGCGGAGAATAATGAGTATAAAAGGTCTGGGTAAAAGCCAGAGGACAGGAAGCTGGATGCTTATCTTTTTTAATGGGGAATAGGGAAACAATCTTTTCTCTTCAGAATGAGTCTAGTAGAGCTAGCAGAAACCTTTCTCTAAATGGAACCAAAGTGGGCAAGAAAACAAAGAGTAAAAACCTTTCTGATGCAAGGGATTGAGCCCCAGAGTTAGAATCAGATGTTGTAGTCCCAGTCCTGCTGTGGTCACTATCTAGTTGACAGCCTTGGCAGGTCACTCCTCTCTCTGGTCCTCAATTTCCTATCCTGCTAGCTGGGTGAATTTAGGCAAATTCCTTTACTTCTCTGAGCCTCAGATTCCTCAAATGTGAAGTAGGGTGATAACGTTACCTACTTCAGAGGATTGTAGTGGGGATTACGGAAACAAGTTAATGAATGATGTTCATAAAGTATTTGACACATGCCTAAAACAAAGTTAACATTTGGTATATAATACCTGCACAAGGATATATAAATACTTGATACATAACACTTGCTACTGTTTCCCCCATCTTTTTATTTTGAAAACTTTCAAACAGAAAAGTTGAAAGGATAATCCAAGTAACTCCTATTTTTCCTAAACTTAGATTTACTTAACTGTTAGTATTTTGCCATGTCTTCACATGTTCCCCCCATCACACACAGTCTTTCCCTCCCTCATTAATCAATCTGTCTATATCTATATCTATTTACATACATATGTTTTTGTGAACCATTTAAGAATAGCTTGCAAACATCAAGACATTGCATTCCTAAATAATTCAACATGAATCTCTCATCTCTTACAATGATATTCTTCCTTACAATATCATTATCAGACCCAAGAAATTTAATTTCATAAAATATTATTTAATATACATTCCATATTCAAAGTTCCCCAGTAATGTTCAGAATCCAAACAAGTATCACACCCTGCATTTGGCTGCCAGATCTCCTTAGTTTGATCTAACACAGAACATTTCTCCTGCCTTTTTACTTTCTTTTTTTCATGATATTGACTGTTTTAAAGATTCTAAGACAGTTGTCTTGTTATGTATATTTGGACTAGGACAAAAAATGAGTAAATATATTGACTTTAATTGGAAACCATGATTCTCACTGTAAAAGATGGGAGATGTAAATATCAGTGAGGAAGGTGAGCAAGAACACGGTATTGTATTGTTTCAGACTTTGTATTAATCAGGATTCTTAATTAGAAACAGAACCAATAGGATTTGTATACACGCACACACACACACAAATATATAGAGAGAGATTTATTCAAGGAATTGGTGTACAGGATTATGGAGGCTTCCAAGTCCAAAATATGCAGGGTTGGCCAGCAAGATAGAGATCCAGAGAAGAGCCAATGTTGCAGTTTAAGGCTGAAGGCCATCTGCTGAAGAGTTCCCTCTTGCTTGGGGGACATGAGTCTTTTGTTTTATTCAGGCCTTCGACTGATTGGATGAGGCCCATTCACATTAAGGAGGGTAATCTGCTTCATGTAAAGTCTACAGATTTAAATGTTAATCTCATCCAAAAACATCCTCAAAGAAACCTCCAGAATAACGTTTAACCAAATATTTGGGCACTGTGATCCACCCAAGCTGACATATAAAACTAACCATCAGAGACTCCAATAGATGAAGATAGAGACAGAAATACATATACATACATTTATTTATTTTAGCTCTGTAATGAAAGGGCCCAGAAGCAATGATACCCCAGTAGCAGAGAGCACATATTATGTCTACATCTTGATTTCTAAATACCATTCTCCACTAAAAAGAACCACTGCCTCGGGGTTGCAATCCTAGTCTCTGATAAAACAGACTTTAAACCAACAAAGATCAAAAGAGACAAAGAAGGCCATTACATAATGGTAAAGGGATCAATTCAACAAGAGGAGCTAACTATCCTAAATATTTATGCACCCAATACAGGAGCACCCAGATTCATAAAGCAAGTCCTGAGTGACCTACAAAGAGACTTAGACTCCCACACATTAATAATGGGAGACTTTAACACCCCACTGTCAATATTAGACAGATCAACGAGACAGAAAGTCAACAAGGATACCCAGGAATTGAACTCAGCTCTGCACCAAGCAGACCTAATAGACATCTACAGAACTCTCCACCCCAAATCAACAGAATATACATTTTTTTCAGCACCACACCACACCTATTCCAAAATTGACCACATAGTTGGAAGTAAAGCTCTCCTCAGCAAATGTAAAAGAACAGAAATTATAACAAACTATCTCTCAGACCACAGTGCAATCAAACTAGAACTCAGGATTAAGAATCTCACTCAAAGCCGCTCAACTACATGGAAACTGAACAACCTGCTCCTGAATGACTACTGGGTACATAACGAAATGAAGGCAGAAATAAAGATGTTCTTTGAAACCAACGAGAACAAAGACACCACATACCAGAATCTCTGGGACGCATTCAAAGCAGTGTGTAGAGGGAAATTTATAGCACTAAATGCCTACAAGAGAAAGCAGGAAAGATCCAAAATTGACACCCTAACATCACAATTAAAAGAACTAGAAAAGCAAGAGCAAACACATTCAAAAGCTAGCAGAAGGCAAGAAATAACTAAAATCAGAGCAGAACTGAAGGAAATAGAGACACAAAAAACCCTTCAAAAAATCAATGAATCCAGGAGCTGGTTTTTTGAAAGGATCAACAAAATTGATAGACCGCTAGCAAGACTAATAAAGAAAAAAAGAGAGAAGAATCAAATAGACACAATAAAAAATGATAAAGGGGATATCACCACCGATCCCACAGAAATACAAACTACCATCAGAGAATACTACAAACACCTCTACGCAAATAAACTAGAAAATCTAGAAGAAATGGATACATTCCTCGACACATACACTCTCCCAAGACTAAACCAGGAAGAAGTTGAATCTCTGAATAGACCAATAACAGGCTCTGAAATTGTGGCAATAATCAATAGTTTACCAACCAAAAAGAGTCCAGGACCAGATGGATTCACAGCCGAATTCTACCAGAGGTACAAGGAGGAACTGGTACCATTCCTTCTGAAACTATTCCAATCAATAGAAAAAGAGGGAATCCTCCCTAACTCATTTTATGAGGCCAGCATCATTCTGATACCAAAGCCGGGCAGAGACACAACCAAAAAAGAGAATTTTAGACCAATATCCTTGATGAACATTGATGCAAAAATCCTCAATAAAATACTGGCAAACCGAATCCAGCAGCACATCAAAAAGCTTATCCACCATGATCAAGTGGGCTTCATCCCTGGGATGCAAGGCTGGTTCAATATACGCAAATCAATAAATGTAATCCAGCATATAAACAGAGCCAAAGACAAAAACCACATGATTATCTCAATAGATGCAGAAAAAGCCTTTGACAAAATTCAACAACCCTTCATGCTAAAAACTCTCAATAAATTAGGTATTGATGGGACGTATTTCAAAATAATAAGAGCTATCTATGACAAACCCACAGCCAATATCATACTGAATGGGCAAAAACTGGAAGCATTCCCTTTGAAAACTGGCACAAGACAGGGATGCCCTCTCTCACCGCTCCTATTCAACATAGTGTTGGAAGTTCTGGCCAGGGCAATCAGGCAGGAGAAGGAAATAAAGGGTATTCAATTAGGAAAAGAGGAAGTCAAATTGTCCCTGTTTGCAGACGACATGATTGTTTATCTAGAAAACCCCATCATCTCAGCCCAAAATCTCCTTAAGCTGATAAGCAACTTCAGCAAAGTCTCAGGATACAAAATCAATGTACAAAAATCACAAGCATTCTTATACACCAACAACAGACAAACAGAGAGCCAAATCATGGGTGAACTCCCATTCACAATTGCTTCAAAGAGAATAAAATACCTAGGAATCCAACTTACAAGGGATGTGAAGGACCTCTTCAAGGAGAACTACAAACCACTGCTCAAGGAAATAAAAGAGGACACAAACAAATGGAAGAACATTCCATGCTCATGGGTAGGAAGAATCAATATCGTGAAAATGGCCATACTGCCCAAGGTAATTTACAGATTCAATGCCATCCCCATCAAGCTACCAATGACTTTCTTCACAGAATTGGAAAAAACTACTTTAAAGTTCATATGGAACCAAAAAAGAGCCCGCATTGCCAAGTCAATCCTAAGCCAAAAGAACAAAGCTGGAGGCATCACACTACCTGACTTCAAACTATACTACAAGGCTACAGTAACCAAAACAGCATGGTACTGGTACCAAAACAGAGATATAGATCAATGGAACAGAACAGAGCCCTCAGAAATAATGCCACATATCTACAACTATCTGATCTTTGACAAACCTGAGAAAAACAAGCAATGGGGAAAGGATTCCCTATTTAATAAATGGTGCTGGGAAAACTGGCTAGCCATGTGGAGAAAGCTGAAACTGGATCTCTTCCTTACACCTTATACAAAAATCAATTCAAGATGGATTAAAGATTTAAACGTTAAACCTAAAACCATAAAAACCCTAGAAGAAAACCTAGGCATTACCATTCAGGACATAGGCGTGGGCAAGGACTTCATGTCCAAAACACCAAAAGCAATGGCAACAAAAGCCAAAATTGACAAATGGGATCTAATTAAACTAAAGAGCTTCTGCACAGCAAAAGAAACTACCATCAGAATGAACAGGCAACCTACAAAATGGGAGAAAATTTTCGCAACCTACTCATCTGACAAAGGGCTAATATCCAGAATCTACAATGAACTCAAACAAATTTACAAGAAAAAAACAAACAACCCCATCAAAAAGTGGGCGAAGGACATGAACAGACACTTCTCAAAAGAAGACATTTATGCAGCCAAAAAACACATGAAGAAATGCTCATCATCACTGGCCATCAGAGAAATGCAAATCAAAACCACTATGAGATATCATCTCACACCAGTTAGAATGGCAATCATTAAAAAGTCAGGAAACAACAGGTGCTGGAGAGGATGCGGAGAAATAGGAACACTTTTACACTGTTGGTGGGACTGTAAACTAGTTCAACCATTGTGGAAGTCAGTGTGGCGATTCCTCAGGGATCTAGAACTAGAAATACCATTTGACCCAGCCATCCCATTACTGGGTATATACCCAAAGGACTATAAATCATGCTGCTATAAAGACACATGCACACGTATGTTTATTGCGGCACTATTCACAATAGCAAAGACTTGGAACCAACCCAAATGTCCAACAATGATAGACTGGATTAAGAAAATGTGGCACATATACACCATGGAATATTATG
This sequence comes from Homo sapiens, assembly GCF_000001405.40. NCBI lineage: Eukaryota > Metazoa > Chordata > Mammalia > Primates > Hominidae > Homo > Homo sapiens. The sequence continues at coordinate 56,368,934 of NC_000001.11, forward strand.
CAGCCATAAAAAATGATGAGTTCATATCCTTTGTAGGGACATGGATGAAATTGGAAACCATCATTCTCAGTAAACTATCGCAAGAACAAAAAACCAAACACCGCATATTCTCACTCATAGGTGGGAATTGAACAATGAGATCACATGGACACAGGAAGGGGAATATCACACTCTGGGGACTGTGGTGGGGTCGGGGGAGGGGGGAGGGATAGCATTGGGAGATATACCTAATGCTAGATGACACATTAGTGGGTGCAGCGCACCAGCATGGCACATGTATACATATGTAACTAACCTGCACAATGTGCACATGTACCCTAAAACTTAGAGTATAATAAAAAAAAAAAAAAAAAAAAAAAAAGAACCACTGCCTCTTAGAGAAACAGCTGATTCTGGCTCTGGGGCAAAGAAAATATAAGGTAAGTCGAGAATCTCTTGTTGTCAGAAAACAAAGAGGTACTCAAAGATTGATGGCGAAATATCAAAAGAACATAGGAATTGGTTTGAAGGAATTCCCACTGGTCAAATCAATTGGGAAATCAAAAAGAATAGTGATAATAATTCACAGTCCACTTAAGAATAAGAAAGAAAGAAGAATCCATAAGATCATGATAATAAATATAAAATTTAAAGTAGGAAAGAAGGAAGTTGTTCTTTGAAATAGTTACTACTAGGAAAAGGAGGAATATTGGGTTCAACTCTATGGTCTTCAAGTTTTTTCTTTTTAAGTGAAAGCAAGTTTATTAAGGAAGTAAAAGAATAAAAGAATGGCTACTCCCTAGGCAGAGCAGCCTATGATCTTAAAGTTTTAATGTCATAGAACTCCAAAAGGAGCAAAAATAGGCCTGTCTTAAGTACTCACAAATAAGAGCAATTTTACTTCCTCCATAATACTAAGTTCTTTTTAAATACCTTGGTCTTTTCTCCTTTTTGTAATCAAGATTCTTCATTTGAGTTAGAAAACCCAACTGTATAGGGTGGGCAAATTTTAAGTCATATTAAAAGATTCAAGGGCTTTAGTTGATAGGAATAGTAATATATGATTTGGCTGCTCCCAAAATTGATGAGACCTCAGACTGCACTCATAGGAAGAACGACTCCAGAGAAAAGGAGGTGATCTTTCTGCTTGTCTCTCGGTTTGGTAGCTTTTATCGGAATGCTGAGACCAATTCTTGGACAGAGATAAACCAAATTCTCACCCATAGGAAACTGTCCCAATTTGGGCTGGGGAAAGAAGGAAAGAGGGTAAAAGAACGAGTTATTGAGAAATGGCTGAAACAAATTGGAATGATGCTGCTGCTGGTGGTAATAACTATTCTTTATGGAGTGAAATGCCAAGAGTGCTGGTCCCACTAAGTCCCTTTGTACACATTATGTTATTCGTTCTCCCAGTGACACTCTAAGAGAGGCAATAGTGACCCAAGCTCAGAGAATTAGGTGGGGTGTGTAAGGCCACACAGACACTAAATAGCAAAGCTGTGATCTGACCAAGATCTGTCCAAATCCAGTGTTCATGCTCCTGTCCCTAGCGTACACTTGCCTTTGACTTAAATATGAGGTTAGGTAACCAGGAGCAGATTCCAGCTCTATCCCTATAGGACACTGGATTTATTACTCTCCTTCTCCGAACCTTGGGTTCCTCAGCCTTTTCTCAGAACTTGGGCACCTTTGCCCTCCTGATTCTCTTCCACTTTTCCCTGACTCCACCCCACCCTCACCATAGCTGCAGACCCTTTCTAATGAAAATCAATTCATCTCTACTCCACCTGACCAGCATTCCCAATCAGCAAAACAAAAGCAGGTGTCAGGAGAGACACGCACTGAAACTCGAGAGTTTAACGTCTTCTCTTTCATTGCTGTTTCCAAGGCCTTAATGAGGACAAAATTAGATAAGGTTTGGGGAAGAAGCTCTGGGTTAACGAGGTGTTTGTATGTGTATATCCCGTATACACAGAAAATATCCCCCACACAGAGAAAAGTTCAAAGACAAGTATAACAAACGCATTGAACGCACCACCTGGATCTAACAATGTTAATATTTTGCCATGTTTGCTTCAGATTTTTTTAAATTAAAACATTTAGTTGAAGATCCATAGAAGTTCCCTCGATAAGCTTTCCCTACCTCTACCCTAGAAGTAATTATTACCATCTAGAAGCATGTATTCTTCCTTGCCAGATCTTTATGGTACATAAAGAGTTAATTTTAAACTTGTGGCATTGTTTCGCATTTTTTAAAATATTATTTTAAGTTCCAGGGTACATGTGCATGATGTGCAGATTACATAGGTAAACATGCGCCATGGTGGTTTGCTGCACCTACCAAACCATCACCTAGGTATTGAGCCCGGCATGCCTTAGCTATTTTTCCTGAGGCTCCCCCACCTCCCTGCCCTCCCCTAACAGGCTCCAGTGTGTGTTGTTCCCCTCCCTGTGTCCATGTACTCTCATTGTTCAGCTCCCACTTATAAGTGAAAACATGTTTTGCATGGGGTTTTTTTTGTTTTTTTGAGACAGAGTCTCGCTCTGTCGCCCAGGCTGGAGTGCAGTGGCGTGATCTCGGCTCACTGCAACCTCCGCCTCCTGGGTTGAAGCGATTCTCCTGCCTCAGTCTCCTGAGTAGCTGGGGCTACAGGCATGTGCCACTATGCCGGATAATTTTTTTTTTTTTTTTTTTTTGTATTTTTAGTAGAGACTGGGTTTCACCGCGTTAGCCAGGATGGTCTCAATCTCCTGACCTCATGATCCACCCACCTCAGCTTCCCAGAGTGCTGGGATTACAGACATTGAGCCACTGCTCCTGGCCTGCATGGTTTTATTTATTTATTTATTTATTTATTGAGACAGAGTTTCACTCTTGTTGCCCAGGCTGGAGTGCAATGGCGTGATCTCGGCTCACCGCAACCTCCGCCTCCCAGGTTCAAGTGATTCTCCTGCCTGAGCCTCTTGAGTAGCTGGGATTGCAGGGATACACCACCACGCCCAGCTAATTTTTTTGTATTTTAGTAGAGACAGGGTTTCTCCATGTTGGTCAGGCTGGTCTCGAACTTCTGACCTCAGGTGATCTGCCTGCCTTGGCCTCCCAA